>NC_000020.11:9308759-9460274 GCF_000001405.40 Homo sapiens
GCATCTCTAGATTTACAGGATAGTCACTTTTTAAGTAAACAAAATTGCAAATGCTAAGGATGGACCTAAACATGGTTACTATTCCTTGTTTGAATTAAAATATTGAAGTAATAGCTGTTCATATGTCTGAAATTAAAATAACAGTGAACTGCATTCTGCTATAAGATGAAACAGAATAATATTCTGCCATCCAGAGACAAGCACTGTTAATTCTTATGCAGTTTTCTTCTAGTCTTTTTTCATATTTGTTTTTCTTTTTTTTCTCTCTCCCATGGTTGAGATCATAGAGTAATATTTTTAAAATATAAAGCAGATCCCATTTCTCCTGTGTTTAAAATGCTTCCATCACTTCCCATTGTAGCGTAAAGGGAAGTTCACAGAATGAAATACAAGGCCTTCTATAATTTGGCTCCTGCTTAATTACCTCACCTTCATTTCTCTCCAGTTTCCAACATACAGCGTATGTTCAACTATAGCAAACCACTTACAGTTTCCCCCATAAACTATTCTACTACATGGTTTGTTTATGCTACTCCCTCTTCCTGAAATGTATTTATTCCAACTGGTTTGATTGGTGAACTCCTCTCATCTCAGAACCCAGATGAGAAATGTCCACTTCTGTGATATCTTCCTTGACCCATTGAATGAATAAGAGGCGATAACTTATTTTTTGCCACCACTAACCTATCCTTGCATATTTTACACTGCCTTCACATTTTATTTAATGTTTCTTTCTCTCCAACTATGTTCTGAGTTTCTTGAAGTCAGGGATCATATTTTACTTATCTTTTTCTCTCCAGGGACTAGCAGAATACCTGTAACCACCAAATTCTTTGTGGATGTCTAGCATCTAAAATGATTTTAGATCCAGTTGATTCCAATTCAGACTAATAATTCAGAGAAGGTAATTTTGAAGAGATTACATGCAATCATTGGTTCAGTATATCTCCTACTGTTATGTAAGAAAAAGCTATTGGAGAAAAAAGTACTTGACAACAGTGAAATGTGATTTGATGAACCAGAGATTCATTTGAATCCTTCTTATTGCTTGTGTTTTTTTTGATTATTAATCATCACAGCTCATATTAGGAAATACTGATCACCTGTGCTTCTAAAGGCATTTGCTTTTCCTCTGGATTCCTCTACAAACTAGGCAAAGTTAGAAGAAAAGAACCCTTGAACAAGTATTAAATAAAATGTAACTAAGCTTTCAACTCTTTCAAGTGCTATTTTACTAGGATTTTGAGCAAAAACATTTTAACTTTATAAAGCAAACATGCGTCTTCATGATAACATACCAAACCACAAAGCTGAAGAATATTTCAAGCTGGATGACAGCCAGTTTAAAAAATAATTATTTCCCACTCCTATAAGACTCAGTTCTTTAGAGCCAGAGCCATGAAAACATTTAAGGCAACAACATGTAAGCAGAAAAGGTTCGTTTCTATGGTTGGTACATGAACAGCCATGAGGGATTACAGCTGAAAGCCAGTGCGAGGAATAAGATTAGAGAAACAAAACCCAAGCATCCCTAAAGTGTCATAGCAAAGGTACCTTTTGTGAAGGGGCATAAATGCTGTCAGCACCATATGATAACTAACGTTATCATCATGAACTCAAATAGCAGGTAAACATAAAATTGTATTCCATGTATTTGTTTAAAGAAAGCAGCTGGGCACAGTGTCTTATGCCTGTAATCCCAGCACTTTGGGAGGCCAGGGTGGGCAGATCAGTAGGTCAGGAGATTGAGACCATTCTGGCTAACACAGTGAAACCCCATTTCTACTAAAAATATAAAAAAAAATAGCCAGGTGTGGTGGCACATGCCTATAGTCCCAGCTACTTGGGAGGCTGAGGCAGGAGAATCGCTTGAACCCAAGAGGCAGAGGGTGCAGTGAGCCAAGATCACGCCCCCACACACCAACCTGGGTGACAAAGTGATGCTGTGTCTCAAAAAATAAAAAAAAATAAATAAAAAAAGGGAGCAGGGAGTAAGCAGTCAGTAGGTGGGGGAAAAATGTTTAATAGGCACTGTTTTAAAAATAGTCAATAAATGTAGTAAGTGCAAATGCATTTAAAGTTTATTTTATTATTTCTGCATTACTGAAGAATTATTTTTGAGGCAGCCAGATTTTTACAAATGACCTAAGTGGTAGGCTGTGATTGTATTGCCATGACACTTCTAATTCTGTACTTTTCTAACTTTACTTGACTTACACGTTACTTAAATGCAAAATATATTTTGTTTCCTAAGTGATGCTTAACATTAAATCTTTAAAAGACAGATTCGTCTCTTGTGGAGGAGAGAAATAGCAGTGTTTTTAAAAATACATGCAACCCAGATATCTCTAACTCAACCAGCCCCCTGACTTTCCTATAATATCCACATCAAAGATCTGAAGAACCCATTCCCTGGCAGGTCAGGGCCTTCCCAGTCTTTCCTAGAATTCCTAGGTGCTTACCCACTTTTGATGATGACTTATGTCCTCAAATGCTTGGCTACCATTCAGTTTCCAGGACTGTTGACTACTCCAATTTGTTTCCTTCCCTAAACCCACTTTAACATCAAATTCCAGAAATACAAGGATGTTGTATAAAGTAGACTTTTTACTGAAGATTTAGTGGCAGCAGAGGAGAATTGCATCATACACCACACCAAGACAACTTTAAGATTAAAAATCGGAGATCATGCTGAATAAGTTTCATTAGCCAGCCCAACCAGGAGTGTCTCTCTTTTTTCTTCTTTGTCCCTCTCCTCCATCAAGATTCCTGTTCCTGTTTCCTTTATTTTATTTTAATCACACTCAGAGTCCTTTTTCACTTTTCCAGATACTTTTTTCTTAACTGTCAAACATTTTCTGTCTCTCAATCTAAAGAAGAAAACTTCAAAATTCAAGTCCCTCCTCATCCTGGAGCTGTTTGGCTCCCCTTTCACCTCAAACTCTCCTACTCAGACTCTCCTGAGATCCTCCCTTTTGCATAAGCCTGAAAGTCAAAGTATGTCCTTAAAACACACAAAATCTAAAAAGAGCTTTATTCTTAAGAAGGAGACTGCCATCATAGATAAGTGTTCACCAACAGAACTTTCCACAATGATAGAAATGGTCTACATTTGTGTTGCCGTTATGGCAGCCACATGTGGCTGTTCAGCATTTGAAATGTGGCTACTGGGACTGAGGGACTTAAGTTTTTAATCTTACATAATTTAAATTCAAATTCATATAGGTACATGGGCCTAGTGGCTTTCTTATTGGATGGCATAGATAATCAACTCAAACTACAACCAGATTTTAAAATTCCATTCTCCCTTCTTGACACTAAGAAGCATTCTCAGTGCATTCCGTTGGAATCTCCAGAATTCATCAGCCAGTTCTTCTTAGGGGCAGCCAGAGCAGGGGTTCAAATGTTTTATGGATGACTCACCTCAGCCACTGACCTCGTCTTTCCCACATCATAAATCCCAGCTCGGGCTACCCCTTCTTCTTGCCCATGGGACTTTCTTGTATCTGAGTCCAGCTGCCTAGATGGAGTCCCTTTTCCTAGCAAAGTCTTGGTCTTCTTGGTCTTTATACTAGCCTCCCCACCTTCCACCCTACACACACACACACACACACACACACACACACACACACACACACGCACGCACTCACACACACGTGGTGGAGGAAAACTGAGACAATTATTGCAGGTGTCAGGATCAAAGGAGTATCAAAGTGCAGGGTCAATACAAACCTAAAGTCAGGCACAGTGGGACAGGCTGACTTTGGCCTCTTTCCAAGGTGGTTCTGAAATCAAATTGTGAGCAGCCACACCATGAAGCTCAGAAAAGCTCAAGCAGCCTACACCCCACAGGCTGTTCATCAGCAAAGCAAAGCGCTTTCCAAATACAATTTTCAAAAGACTTAAAAACACAAGCCTCATATAAAGTATTTTGATTAAAAGATATATTTAACTAATCAGGGAGGACATTAGCAGGATGATAAAGCTAGTTCCAAGAGCACTTGAGGAAGAGAATTTTACGTAGGAAAGGAAAGGAAAAGTGAAGTAAGTTTTGTCAATTAGATACAAAACTGGCTAATGTCCTATAAGGCAATAAAACTCTAACCTATTATAGATTTGCCTTTTTCTACTGGACACAAGTCATCTACATCATTATAGAATAACAGCAGAAAAATGCTATCTATTAAACTTCGAAGAATCTATGTCCCAAACAACAGTAAATAGTAGGTCAAACCAAAAATACATTTTTCTATAGAAGTAAATCATTCTTAGGTATGCCTCTTCAATCATGCTTTGATGTAACAATGAAAAGAGGGATGGCCATCTTTGCATATTATTTTTAAGCTTGAGATAATTTAAATTCAATTATAAAACAATGTCCAGATATACCTGTATTTACACTAAAAGATACTTACAGTCATCAAAATGATAATAATCATAATAAATTAGTTTTTCAACTGTTATAATCAACCTATTAGTTTTTCAACTTTTATAATCAACCTAAGGGTAGAGAAAACATTTAATTATTTTTGACCAAGCATAACAAAAAAGCTGTTACCTTTATCTATTTAAAGTAAGGGTGCCAGACAGATGCTGGAAATTAGAAGGGACTTGGAGAAACAGAGGAAAGTCCAGAGGCTTTATACTCTCAGCAAGAGGGAAGGTTGGTAGTTGATGTACAATAGAGGCTTGCAGATATGATTTAAAGTATAAAAGTAGCCAATCACAAACCAAAAATAAAATAATTTCAAATTTGGAGTTGGGGGAGAAAAAGTAGTGAAAATGCGTTAAGTGGAGTTAAATTGCTGTGTTTTTATTCCAAGAAACCGATTTCTGCATATTCCTGGTGGATAATTAGTTTAGTTACTGGCTGTCTTGCCATGAGTCCTGTTTTCTTAAGCTCCTGTCTCTATTAGAGTTGGACATATGGAACAGAAACCTGTTGGTGCCACTTTATTATGCACTGCAGTAAGTACTGGCTTCATAGTTTGGACGGCAGCTGTACTCACCGCTATACCACCACCACCACTGGCTGGGCTTCTCAGTTTTAAACTCTAGGCTTTCAGCATGTGGCCCTGAAGCCCTTTCACTCTCACCCCTCCACTTTCTTCCACTTGCATATTGTGATGAGAAAGGTGGTAGAATGATCTCCTTGTGGTGTGAGAGGAGAGGAAGGGGCAGCAGGGCTGGGGGACTGGCCCCAGAAGCCTCAATGAGGAGGCCCGTTTCAGGCTGAGTCTTGATAGGTGAGTCAGTCAACCACTCAAAGCACAGCTAAGAGGAAGGGAGAGGCCAGGGCTTCTGCAAGGGCATGAGTATGACAGCACATTCTATTGAGGGGGTAAGGGGATTATTCAGCTAGGGCAGAGGGTAGGGCAGTGGAGTACAGGGGTGAAGGCACAGAGATGGCCAGTGTCCACACCATCAATGGGTTTACTTTCCAGCCCAGGGCATTGGCATTTGATTCAGAAAGCTCTAGGGAACCTTTGATGGGGTTTCAGCAGGGCAGTGATCAGTTCTGGATGACCAGTGACAAGTGGATGTGGCTGGATTCCTTGTGGGAGTGGTCTGGAGGGTAGTGTTGGGCTTGAAGGACTTAATGGACAGTCAGTCACACATATGGAGAAATACGGGAGGATTTTGAGTGTAGGAATAAATGAGAAGATTTTTCTAACCTGGTGGATGTAGAGTATGTGAGAGAATAAGTGTAGAATGAGGTTGGAATTTCTAGCACGGGAACTGGACAGCTCTGATGCAAGGTGGAGAGAATGCCAGAGAAGGGGGTACATGTATGGATGCATTTATATTGTTTCTTTCTGAAATGACGAAGAACCAAAAGCAAAAGTGATATCTTCTGTAGTACCTAAGAAGCATTTTGTATATAATCACATTAATACTAGTTAAAAATACATTGAATAGAAAGGGAAGAACGTAATAAATGATCCAAGAGGATGAACACATGGGCGCATCTTCCTCTCTCAGTCCTCTTCTCTCAGGGTGATTGTTGCTGCCTGATGGGATGAAGGAATGAGGACCCCAAGACCCTCACAGCCACAGGCTTCCTTCACTCACCCTCTTATGTGGGTGATACTGCATTCCTCAGGGTAGAGGAATTTTTTTTTTTTTTTTGAGACGGAATTTCGTGCTTGTTACCCAAGCTGGAGTGCAATGGCACAATCTCGGCTCACTGCAACCTCCGCCTCCTGGGTTCAAGCAATTCTCCTGCCTCAGCCTCCCAAGTATCTGGGATTACAAGCATGTGCCACCATGCCCGGCTAACTTTTGTATTTTTAGTAGAGATGTGGTGAAACCCCGTCTACATAAACAGAAAGTCTATTTACACAGAAAGGTTTGAGGAAAAAGAACCTCTGACAGAATATTCTGAATTATAATTAGGGGTAAGATCGTAAATGTGTATACTTATATGAGTCTTTCACACACTCTGTATATTGTATGTGAATTATCATATTGGAATCATTAGGCTACAACAAGCTATATAGCAACTTAATGATGATAAACAATCTTGAGTACAGTTGGCCCTTTAACAATTCGGAAATATTTTAAAGACATTACAACTTAATCCATGGTGCGAACCACTGCTCTAGAAGGCTGAGATAAAGCAATGAACAAGACAAACAAAGTCTCAGTCCTTTGGGAGTGTATGGTCCAGCGGCAGGAGACCAACAATAAACCAATAAGCATAGAAATGAATGGCTTCCAGCAGTGTTCAATACTCTTATGTTACTAAAAGGAGTGATAGAGGGATCAGAGAGACAGGCAGACATTGAGGAGTAGGGGAGGGGACATTGCTGTGGGTTGGGTGGTCAGGGCAGGCCCTATTCAGGAGGTGGCATTTGAAGTTGTAGCTGAATGATAAGAAGTAGCTAGATTGGCCAGGTGCGGTGGCTCACACCTATAATCCCAGCACTTTGGTAGGCTGAGGCGGGCACATCACCTGAGATCAGGAGTTCGAGACCAGCCTGGTCAACATGGCAAAATCCCATCTCTACTAAAAATATAAAAATTAGCCAGGCATGGTGGTGCGCGCCTGTAGTCCCAGCAACTCAGGAGGCTAAGGCACAAAAATCGCTTGAACCTGGAAGGCAGAGGTTGCGGTGAGCTGAAATTGCACCACTACACTCCAGCACTCCAGCCTGGGTGACAGAGCGAGATTCTGTCTAAAAAAAAATTAAAAAAAAAGAGCCAGTTTGGCCAAGAACTAAGGGAAAAGCATTCCAAGACATGGAAACAGCAAATGCTAGGCTCTGAGGCAAACATAGTCTTGGCATGTCGAAAGAAGAGCACCAAGGGTGGAGTGAGCATCATGGTCAGGGCATGGTAAGAGGAGAATTCTGAGAAGCAGGCAGAAGCCCCTCATGTGGAGCAGTAGTTCTCTCAAAGTGTGGTCCCCAAGCCAGCATCATCAGCACCACCCAGAACCTTATTAGAGATGCGCATTCTCAGGCCCATCCCACGGACCTATGGAATCAGAAACTCCAGGAACTGGCCCAGGCGTATGTGCATTAACAAGCCCTTCAAGGAAGTCCGGTGCACACTTAAGTACGAGAATAAATGGTGTAGAACCAGGCCGAGGTGTTTGGATTTCGTTCTGATTGCTATGGGAAGCCATTTTCAACAGGGACTGGCATGATCTGATTTATATTTTGGAGACAGTTACTCTGGAGGCCGTACAAAGGATGATTCGTAGGCGGGGGCCAAAAGGTTGGAGAAGACCAGGACTTTAAGGAAGGTGAGCTAGAGGCTTAATCCTTCCTTTTCCTGACTATGTCTCCATGGGCGATTTTCTTAATATCTCTGTGCCAGAAAAATAGGATATGTTAAGGTGGATGGGTCGAAGAATATCAGTTGTTCTCCTTAGGATTCTACGAGTCTGCACACACTTTTCTTGTCAGCACAGCTGTGTGACTTCTTCCTGATGTGAGAAGAAAGCCAAGGCCAGGCATCTGAGCACCACCTCAGTTGGCCCGAACACTGAAACAACCCAAAGCAGCAAAAACTAAGATCAGCCAGATTTTTGCAAAGAAAAACCCAAAACAACATTCAGGCCTGTTCCTTCCTCTAGACCAGCCTTTGAAATAACAGTGCTGATAATATTATCTGGTCTCTCATGCTCCCAAAGCTCAGAGCTCATTGTCATCCAAGCATGAGACCTTTAAGGAAAGGTCTGTATTGTAGGTCATCTCATGCTGAAAAGTCATAGAACTGGGTCAGCATACTTTTTCTGTAAGGGACCACATATTAAATAGTTTAGATTTTATGAGTCCTGCAGCCTCTGTTACAGCTATTCAACTTTGTCATTGTAGCCCAATAGCAGCCATAGAACATAATATGTAAAAAAATGAGCAGGCACTTGGATTAGAAGACAAACAATGCCACATAGAAATGAGTAACAAATTGGTTTTGATGGTAATGGTAGTAATGAAATAATTCTAGTTTCAAGTAATTATTTTTACTCCTCGTGTTCTTTTACTACTGTGTTGTATTTTTAATTTAGTCACCCTCTATTTCTCTTCCTTATCTTGATAGATCATTGTATCAGTTTATCACCTTTTGCTGCATACATAACAGACTGCTCACCTTTCTTTTCTAAGATGCTCTCATTTTTGTGGGGTAGGGCAGGGGCTTGCTCTTCTCATTTTCATGTCTCTTCCCTCTCTGAAGTTTCTTTGGGCTTGCTTTTATTTCTTCACAAAAGTAGAAGATAACTCTATTTCCTGGAGGAATGGAAGCATCTCCCCCATGAAATAGTGTCTCAGTCAGTTTCATGGAAAATGGTAATCCTTGAGATCCATGCTTCAAGGATGCAAGAAGGACGTCTTATTCATGGAAAAATGTGAGATGCATCCATTAGGAAACTAGACAGGGAAATCTGGGGTCCCACTAGATTTACAAGGAGCTTGTGGAAACAACACAAGACAGGAAGAAAGTATGGAAAAAATATGGGCAATTAAATTAAAATATAAGTGTAAGCACCTAGGGGTTCTTGCTGCCAGCTGCACAAAGAAAGAACATGGCATTGTAGTAAAGAAAGAGTTTGGGCAGGCGTGGTGGCTCACGCCTGTAATCCCAACACTTTGGGAGGCAAAGATGGGCAGATCACTTGAGGTCAGGAGTTGGAGACCGGCCTGGCCAACATGGTGAAACCCTGCCTTTACTAAAAATACAAAAATTAGCTGGGCTTGGTTGCAGGCACCTGTAATCCCAGCTGAAAATACAAAAATTAGCTGGGCTTGGTTGCAGGCACCTGTAATCCCAGCTGCTCGGGAGGCTGAAGCAGAAGAATCACTTGAACCCTGGGACACAGATTGCAGTGAGCCCAGATTGCGCTATTGCACTCCAGCCTGGGTGACAGTGACAGAGTAAGATTCTGTCTCAAAAAAAAAATAAATAAAAATAAAAGAGTTTAATAGAGACAAGGCCAGCCACACCACTTGAGAGATGAGTTAGTATTCAAGTCATCTTGTCCAAAGCTGCTAGTTTAGGGGTTTTTTAAAGGCAGTTTGAGGGAAGAGGAGGTGCGGGGTCTAGGCTTCTGCTGATTGGATGGGGCAGGGATGAAATCATGCTGAATCGCTTCTGGGTGGGGCCATAGGAGTGGGGTTGGCAAGTCCAGGTGGGTCCAGGTGGAGACATGGGTGTGAGGCATGCAAAAAAAACCTGAAAAGATATCTCAAAAGGCCAGTCTTAGTTTCTACAATGGCAATGTTATTTGCAGAAGTAACTGGGGACATTGCATGTCTTCTAACATCCAGAATAATGGCTGACAGTCATATATGTCTGCACCTTAGCAGGACTCAGGCCCTCCTCTCAAACAGAAGTGGTTGGTTTTTGGGCAATGCCTGTTATCATTTAAACTGTAGCCTAAACATCTCCCAAAGTTACCTTCATCCAAAAGCCCAGGAATAATTAAGGAAAAGGCAAGGTGGGAGGTGGGTTAGCTTAGCTAACTGTTATAATTTTTCTCACTGATACAATTTTTGCAAAGGCAGTTTCATAAGGAACTAGCTGAGGATCTACTTAGGTCTCTCAAGTACTACTGTACTATGCTAAAGAATTAAACACAATGGCTAAAATTACAGTGCTGATTCTCTATTGCTTCTTCTCAACCTGCAGTATAAAGAGAAAAATGCTCAATATTAGCTACCTCAAGCCGTGTCTGTGGGCCGCAGGTGAACAGGAGGGTGTTGGCCAGGGCATCCTTTTAATTAGGGTTGATGAGTGCAGTCTTGCAGATCATCAGGCTAGTGGTGAAGAGACCCTAAGGACATCCTGGTTTCATTCTCTTTGCACACCTCTTTGGAATTGCACTCTCTTAATGCATGTGGTGTAGCCATTGAATTAACAGAGTTCATTCAAGTGTGGACAAATGAACAGTCAGATGAAATATACAGCACATGTTAAAATGAATTCTTTTTTCTGTTGAGCAGTCTAGGGAGAAGAAATTTTTTTAAAAAATCAAGTTAATAATTTTGAAGTCCCTTCTCGATTGATAAAATTGCACTTCTTTAAACCTGTGCAATTTCATGCCACTGAATTCCCTATTCCTGAAAATTTTCAGAAATTATTTTTGTCATTACTTGTTTTGGTTGTTTTTGAGAGGGTGCTGTATTAGTGAGGGTTCTCCAGAGAAACAGAGCCAATGGGATATATAGAGATATATAGGTAGGAAGAGATTTATTATGAAGGATTGGCTTACACAATTATGAAGGCTGAGAAATCTTATATCGTCTGTCTATAAGCTAGAGGCCTAGGAAAACGAGTAGGGCAGTTCCAGTTCAAACCTGAAGGGCCAGAGAACCAGGGGAGCCAATGGTGTGTAAGTGTCAGTTGAGTCCAAAGGCCCCAGAACCAGGGGCATCAGTATCCAAGTTGAATGTCCCAGATCAAGACAGAGTGAATTCATTCTTCCTCCACCATTTTGTTCAGTTCAAGCCCTCCGTGGATTGGATGGTGCCCTCCTGTATTCGGCAGATCTTCTTTATTCATTCCATCAATTCAAACACAAATCTCTTCCAGAAACAGCCTCACAGACACACCCGGAAGTAATATTTCATCAGCCATCAGCCTTAGCCCAGTCAAGTTGACATATAAAATTAATCATGACAGGTGTTTTTTAGCACAGACAGTAGTAAATCACTACTACTTTGAGCACTCACTAGGTGCTGGACCTTGCACTTGACAAATGGTATAAATGATCAGGAAAGTATCCTGATCTAGACCCTAAGAGAGAGGATTCTTGGATCTCGCCCAAGAAAGAATTAGAGGTGAGTGCACAGAGTAAAGTGAAAGCAAGTTTATTAAGAAAGTAAAGAAACAGAAGAATCGCTATTCCATAAACAGAGCAGCCCTGACAGATGCTGGTTAGCTATTTTTATGGTTATTTCTTGATCATATGCTAAACAAGTGGTGGATTATTCATGAGTTTTCCAGGAAAGGGGAAGTAATTCCTGGAACTGAGGGTTCCTCCCCTTTTTAGACTATATAGGGTAACTTCCGGACATTGCCGTGGCATTTGTAAACTGTCAAGGCAGTGGTAAGAATGTCTTTTAGCATGCTAATGCATTCATATGAACATATAATGAGCAGTGAAGACAACCAGAGGTCACTTTCTTCTAGCCATCCTAGTTTTGGCAGCTTTTGGCCGGCTTCCTTAGTGCATCCTGTTTTATCAGTGGGGTCTTTGTAACCTGTGTCTTGTGCTGACCTCCTCTCTCATCCTGTAACTAAGAATGCCTAACCTCCTGGGAATGTAGCCTAGTAGGTCTCAGCCTCGTTTTACCCAGCCCTGTTCAAGATGGAGTGGTTCTGGCTCCAGTGCCTCTGATTTAAGCATTATTTCACTTAAGCCTCGAAACAACCCTGTTTTAAGTAGGTCTTTTTAGCTTCCTTTTGCAGTTTACAAAACTGAGGATTAAAATGGTTAAGCATGTTGCTTGAGGTTTCACAGGCTGGTTACAGACTTAGCAGAAAAATGGCCTGCCAGCTAGCCTACAGTGGATCTCCAAGTATGGTTTCAGACAGCATCAGCAACATTTGTGAGCTTGCTAGAAATGCAGATTATTAGGCCCCACCCCAGACCTACAGAATCAGAAACTCTGGGGGGAGGGTCCAGCAATCTGTGTTTTAAGAGCCCTCTCAGTGATTCTGATGATGCAGCTCAAGTTTGAGAACCTAGGCCTAGGGAAAGGTAAGGAATTGTAGACTTACTAGAAGGAAACAAAATTAGATCCATTTAAAGTTCTTTACAGCTAATCTTCCTCAAACAGGCAACACAGAGAAAAGGGTGAAGACTGTTGAATAAAAGAGACTTCTTTATCTAGGCTGAACATATTAGATTTATTGAACCCTTGACACAGTGCAAAGTACTTGACATCAGTCATCTCTTTAAACCCTCAGGTGGTGGTGAGGGCTAAATGAGATTTTCCACAGTTTACAGATGAGGAAAGAGAAGCTTAGGTCACTTAAGAATTGCTTGTTAATCAACATGTAGTACGTGATGGAGCTAGCGTCCAGAACTAATGTATTGCTAAAGAGAACATACACAGGTCACACAGCTTTATGACCCAGAATGGCTGTCAGCAGAGAAACATGTTTTTGAAGATATATATGATGTATAAAATACATAATTAAAAAGTCTTTCTAAAGTTCATTAATAGGCTGGAACCAAAGACCTGTTTAACTTTTTACTCACCGTTTGCATTACTTATTCTAGACCATAAGTATTATACTACTAAGTCTAGGTGTCTTTAGTCTAGTTCTCTTAGGGAAATGAGAATGGGAAGACTGTATTTTTCATATAATTTCCCCCACATTCCCCAAGGAAAGTGTTTACCAGGGCTTTTTTAGGTTTTTTGTTTTTTGTTTTTTTGAGACAGACGGAGTCTCACTGTGTTACCAGGCTAGAGTGCCGTGGCATGCTCTGGGCTCACTGAAACCTCTGCCCCCCAAGTTCAAGCGATTCTTCTGCCTCAGCCTCCCAAGTACCTGGGACTACAGGTGCGCACCACCATGCCCAGCTAATTTTTGTATTTTTAGTAGAGACGGGGTTTCATCATGTTGGCCAGGCTGGTCTCGAACTTTTGACCTCATGATCTGCCTGCCTCAGCCTCCCAAAGTGCTGGTATTACAGGCGTGAGAGCCACTATGCCTGGCCTTTCTTTTTTTTCTTTTTCTTTTTTTTTTTTTGATACAGGACCTCACTCTGTCACCTAGGCTGGAGTGCAATGGCACAATCATAGCTTACTGCAACCTCTAACTCCTGGGCTTAAGCAATTCTCCTGCCTCAGCCTCCCTCCCGAGTAGCTGAGATTACAGGCAGAGCCACCACACCCAGGTAATTTTTTTTTTTTTTTTTTTTTTGTAGAGACAGGGTCTCACTATGTTGACCAGGCAGGTCTTGAACTACTGGGCTCAAGTGAGCCTCCTGCTTTGGTCTCCCAGAGTACTGGGATTATAGGCATGAGCCACTGTGCCTGGCCCCTAGTCTTTAATTTTTGAGGGGGGAGAAAAACTAGGTAAAACATACTATATGGAAAGATTATAATATTTTCTTTCAATTGATGGACATAGACATAAAATATTGTCAGCGAGAAAGCCTATCTTTTTAATATTTATTTTGATAAACTAACAAGGAGCATATAATTTATAAAATACTTTCTCTTAAAGCCATAAATAGTAAGCACTTGCTCCGAAATGCTGCTTTGTCAAGAACGTTAATTGAAGCAGATGAGCAGAGTCAGTATAGCTTCCCAGGTCCAGCCTGCATTCCCTTTCTACTGCAGAGTTACGCTGAGGACAGCATGCTGGCACCTCCACGGCTCTTCTGCTGTCAACTTTTCTTCTCCCAAGTACCTGAAAGGGCAGGTGATCCTCTTAACTTTGTAGACATGTGAAAAGGAGACTAGTTTTTGAATGCTCACCAAAAGCCAAGTTGCCAGGATATTGTTTGCAAATACAGAAAGGGTTTTTGTACTAAGTGGTATTTAAGGCAAAATCTTTGCCAAAGAACTCTATCCAAAAGCTTGAAATACACATAGTTGGTTAAGGGAATGCATTTGGAGTTAAACAGAAATAGGTTCAGTTTTGGCTTTGCTACTCAAGAGATGTGACCATGAGTCAGTCTTAACACCCACCAAGCACTAAGCCAGAGCTTCCTTGTTTGAAAAATGGGAGTGATAATACCTACCTCGCATTGCCATCATAAGGAATAAGTAAGATGGATTTTTTAAAAATGGAAGTCAGATTATGCCCTTCTTTTGGTTTAAACCTTTAATGGGTTTCTACCTCATTCCAAGTAATTTCCAAAGTTCTTTCTGTGTCCTGCAAGTCCCCTACATGACCTACCATTTCGCTGTCCCATTGATATTCCCTGAGCATTCTAGGCACACTCTGACCTCAGGGCCTTTACACTTGCTGTTCTCCCTCTGGACTACTCTCCTCTGTACAGTCCTCATGGTTCACTTCCTCACTTCATTCTGTTTCTGCTAAAATATCACATTCTCCAAGAGGCCTTCTTACTCACCTACACACACAGGCTCCTGACCCTTCTGGATGTTTTATTTGTTACATTTATCACTACCTGATAACTTACTCTTTTTTGTTCATTGCTGAAGTCCTTCTAGAAGATAAGCCCTGAGAGTAGACTTTGTTTCCTGCTGTATCCCCACCAGGGAATTAATTCATCACTCAACATATTTCATAAGTACCTACTATGATCCAGCAATTCCTTAGTTACTTATCTGAGACTGAAATTCATTGATATTTCCATGGTTCCTAATTTTTAAGGAATTTTAAAGCCCCAAAGAACTGGAACTGAAAATGTCACTTTGGAATGTGGAGAAAGGTTAAGCCAGAGACACTATCTGTGGCAGCTATGGAGGTGTGTCGCTTAAATCTCCCTTCAAGAGACAGCTGCCCCAGGAGTCCCCTCATTGGACAGTTTTGCTGCAGGGGCTTCAGCACCCTCAAAATGTCCCTGCCCAGGCTGTACTGAACATGGCAAGCTGCTACAACCGGGCCTTTCCTGCCCAAGTGAGGCTCCTCTGGTGGGCGTTCTGTGCTCTGCAGCTGCAATCCAGCAATGTTCTCAGCTGTACTGCAAGCTGAGACAATTCCTCCCCAGTTCTCCCTGCTCCCTCCTCTCCTCTCTCAGGTGTTTGTTCTGAGGTCTGGTTTGGAGGCTCTCCCTGTCACTCGGTTTCTCTCCCCTTTCTCTTTCACAGGCATTTGCCCTAATGAATTGCTCACATTTCCAATTCTGTCTTGCCTGTAATCTCAGCTACTCAGGAGGGAGGCTGAGGCAGGAGAATTGCTTAAGCCCAGGAGTTAGAGGTTGCAGTAAGCTATGATTGTGCCATTGCACTCCAGCCTAGGTGATAGAGTGAGGTCCTGTCTCAAAAAAAAAAAAAGAAAGAAATTTAAAAAAGAAAGGCCAGGCATAGTGGCTCTCACGCCTGGCCAACATGGTGAAACCCTGTCTCTACTAAAAATACAAAAATTAGCTGGGCATGGTGGCATGCACCTGTAGTCCCAGGTACTTGGGAGGCTGAGGGAGGAGAATCGCTTGAACTCGGGAGGCAGAGGTTGCAGTGAGCCCAGATCATGCCACAGCACTCCAGCCTGGTGACACAGTGAGACTCCGTCTGTCTCAAAAACAACAACAACAACAACAACAAATCCTAAAAAAGCCCTGGTAAATACTTTCCTTGGGGAATGTGGGGGAAATAATATGAAAAATACAATCTTCCCATTCTCATTTCCCTAAGAAATGTCTTGGGGGTTTGTTTCTAGATGGAGAAGCCCTTCCCTCAGGGTAAGAGGTCCTCAGGATAAGCCTCCAGGACTCTGCTGCCATTTCCTGAGGCCGACTCTGAGCTCACTGCAGAATTCTCTAGGTGGTAGCAGTGGTTCTTGTGTGATGTTCCAGTAATTGCTGCACTTATTTTAGACACAATAAAAAGTGACAGAGCCAGCATTGACCCTAAGAGCCAGTGGGGACTATGTATCTTCAAGGCCTAAATATAAGCTATTTCAGAAGACAAAAGTCCAACTGGAGTGACGTATCATGCAGCTCTTGTGGAAAAAAAAAAGCATTTTCAAAAGCTGCATTATTTAAATGAGAAATGCATATATTTAAAGGGAAGTTCCATAAAAGTCATTTGAGATTCCTTTTCTTTCAATGACTGTATTCAGCATTGTCTATTATCTCCATATATCAATAGTTTAAAATATTTTTTCATAGACCTGCCTTTTCAGAAACATCTTCTATGTCACTGTATTTTTAATTACTTGCTCAGTGTAATTTATTATGCTGGAACTAATTGTGTTTTAATTAGAAATGCTTTGCTAAAGAGAAGAACTTATCAGTTTGCGGCGGTGTTTCCGGTGCAACTACAAAGCACGTCTCCTGTTTTTCTTAGGATTTTTTTATAAGGGGACAGCCACATAATGTGTTTTTAATATTTGTTGTAAATATTTATTAAGAATCCTGTTTACTTGCCTCCATAACTCTAAGTTGTTCCTCTTTAATTTTTCCTTATTTTAGTTGCTAAGGCAACTGTTTTGACTACTGTGACAGTTTTCCTGCCCAAGAAAGTTACTTTGAGTGACCACCCACTCCTCTTGAAAACACATTTTGCTTTCTCCTTCCTTCTGCACTCTGAGAGGTAGTTGTTGAATATTTTAGGAATAATTTCTTCACCTCTTTTCTGGCAAGAGTCAGGGAACCCTCCCAGAATCTGAGCATCCAGATTTTGCCTCACAATCCTCACAGCAGAGACACTTCAGGGAGGGAAAATTACAAACCTAGACAGATCCGGAGTGTTCAGCCATTCAAACTGGCCTGCCTCACAAATCAAGTCCCAAAGATTTAACATCTATATCGTCAAGTAAAAGATAAAGTGGGAATCCCTAGCTATTAGTGACCATAAAGTCAATCGTTAGAAACAGTTTGGCCTCTCCCAGGTGGCTAATCTGGGCATTTCATTTCTCCCCCAGATTCAATCATAGTTAAGCTGATTAAATTCTCAAAGAACCAAGGATATTTCTGAGACCTTGTATCTAAGTTCTTTCAGGCTGCTATAACAAAATACCATACACTCGGCAGCTATAAACAACACATTTATCCCTCACACTTCTGGAGGCTGCGATGCTTAACATCAAGGTGCTGGTAGATTCGGTGTCTGATAAGAGCCCATTTCCCGATTCCAAGATGACACGTTCTTGCTGTGTCTTCACACGGTGGGTGAAAGGGGCAGCCGTCTCTCTGGATTCTTTTATAAGGGCACTAATCCCATTTATCTCCCAAAGGCCCCCACTTCCTAATTCCATCACATTTGGGATTAGGATTTCAGCATAGGAATTTTTGGTGGGGTAGAGCACAAACATTCAGACCATAGGACCTTGGTAAGCACCATCAGGCCAAATTTTATTTTATTTTTTAAATATATAATATGAGAGATCAGAAAAGATGGTGTACCTTCCTTTGTTTCTTTTCAATAGCCTTCATCCACTCTTCCAAGCCAGGTCACTTAGAAAGTTGATGATGTTCTTTATTCCTGAGGTAAGAATAAAATGAAAGGGGTGGATTAAATCTTTCTACTTGACACCAGAATAAGCGTTCTCTGTATCTCACTGTCATTGCTGGAATGAGCACTTTAAATGCTCATGGTTGATTACTGAGGGAGAGACGTTTTCATTTTTGTTCCTATTGGTTTTGAAATGAAAGATAGACAGCAGGTTTACCACCTTTTGAAGTTGCTGAATAACTCACTTCATTGCCCTCTTGTCATCTGAGAACGTGCTCTGTCGTGTCAGGGAGGTGCAGGGCAGAGTCTCCCCAACCAGGAATGACCTCTTCTGTTCACTATACCCCAACATGCACTTGAAAATAAAAACTGTGTTGTGATGGCTCGTCTGTGGCAGCAGCTTCTTGGCCTGATTGTAGACTGAGGCCAGCTTAGGCAGAGTGGGATGGAGGAGTTGGAGCAGGAACAAACAGAAGATGACCTTCTGTGCAGAAACCACATTTTCAACAAGTCTAAGTCAACCCAGAGTTACGAACTCTGGGTTTCCCTTATGCTTAGCTTTGTATTCTAGCTCACTGGAAATAGACATGCACTAATACCATTGCTCTTTTTAAAGATCTGTGTAACAGAAATGGATTCCCTGTCAAAATGTATTTGTATTTCTGCCTCATATTATATATTATCTGCATCCTCTTGGGTGACTTGCCTCACCTCAGTTAGGAAAAGTTTTCTCATCTGTAAGGTAGGGATGGTGGTGTTTACCTCATTTGTCTTTGATGGTTAATAATAATCAGTACTAGCAACATTATAATGATTATTATTACTATGTTTTATATTAATAATCAATACTGGGCCAGGTGCAGTGGCTCATGCTTATGATCCCAGTGCTTTGGGAGGCTGAGGCAGGAGGACTGCTTGAAGCCAGGAGTTCGAGTTCAGCCTGGACAACATAGCGAAACTCTGTCTCTACAAAAAAAAATTTTTTTTTTTAATTAGCCAGCCATGATAGTGAATGCCTGTAGTCCTAGCTACTCATGAGGCTGAGGCAGGAGGATTGCTTGAGCGCAGGAGTTTGAGGCTGCGGTGCTATGATTGTACCAGGAGTTTGAAGCTGGAGTACTATGATTGTACCACTGCACTCCAGCCCGGATGACAGCAAAATTCTGTCTCTTAAAAAAAAATCAATACTGGCCGGGCGCGGTGGCTCCCGCCTGTAGTCTCAGCACTTTGGGTGGCCGAGGTGGGTGGATCACGAGGTCAGGAGATTGAGACCATCCTGGCTAACACAGACAAACCCCATCTCTACTAAAAATACAAAAAATTAGCCAGACGTGGTGGTGGGCGCCTGTAGTCCCAGCTACTCGGGAGGCTGAGGCAGGAGTATGGCGTGAACCCAGAAGGCAGAGGTTGCAGTGAGCTGGGATCATGCCCCTGCACTCCAGCCTGGGTGACAGAGCGAGACTCCATCTCGAAAAAAAAATAATAATAAAACAAAATTAAAAAATCAATACTAATTTACTTAGTTCAGACTATGTGTCAAGTGCTCTAATGCCCAGAAATAACCTGTGAGATAGGTATTGTGGTTGATGTTGTTGTCTCTGTTTTTAGAGATGAAGAAATGAATATCTAACCACATTTGGATCAGGTTCATCTAAAACCCTAAAGCCTATGTAAAATACCCAATTGTTTCTGCTGCTGGTGAGTTGGTTTTTATGCTTACATGTTTCTCTCACCTTCCACAGGAAGCTGTAATGTGAAATATGTACCACCAGATAAAATAACGGAAGAGGGATTTAGATTGAAGGGAAAAAAGTAAACAAGGGAGAGTACATCAAATGAGGGGTAAATTTAGCAGGCAGCAACTCAACAAGCAGCGAAAATGATCTGTAAAGTTGAAAGAGGTGAGCCTCAGATTTGCTTCTGGTGTTCCTGGTGGCTAAAGCAATGTAGAAAACACAAGTTGTTGTAGGGTTCACAGTGTCCATTAGATTGTAAGGAAAGCAACAGGTCAGTAGGAACAGAGTTTTTCCTGGTCCTAGGATCTGAAAAAAAATTCTTACAGAATTCTTACAAAATACACTCCCCCATAAAAAACTGTAATAAGTACAGAATGTTTCAGTAGTACAGTTGTTCAGTTATCTATGTGGTAGGATTCACGGGGAATCCATAAGAAATGCAGTAATTAAAACCAAAACACTTCAGAAACCCATCTGATCCTTTGTGATGATTGCTGGCATCAGTGGCAAGGAGAATAGCAGAGGCTTCTTCAGGTATGACTGCTGAGCAGTTACCTGAGCCGACTGCTGAGCAGTTACCTGAGCCCACTCCTGAACACTGTCAGTCTTTCATGTGTCAGCCTCAAAGCAGGTGTAGCATATTGTTCAAAACATTTGATCTGCATGCCTCAATGTCCTCACTTGTAAAATAGGTATAAATAGTGAAGCAGCGTTGTTTGTCTGGGGTAATACCCGAGGTTCGTTGTCCCACAGCCATGGAAAGCTAGGACGTGGACACATCAGAGTGAGGTTAAGAGTGGAAGTTTAATAGACAAAAGAAAGAGAAGAGCTCTCTGCACAGAAAGGGCTCCTGGAGAAAATGGGTTGCCACTTCCGCAGTGAAATGCAGAAAGTTTAATAAATGAACTTAAGGAGGGGGTATGTGATTTACACAGGGGATGAAAGATCGGTTGGAGGAGGCATGCCATTTGCAAGTGTGCAAAGAAGCTGGCCACTCCACCCTAATCTTTTATTATGCAGATGGTTATTCTAGCTGGCTGGTGCCATGTTGCCTCGTCCTTATTGTACACGTGGTGACAAAGAAAAGGGAAGATGGAGCCTCCGTGTTGAACATACCTGGCTTCCAGGTAGCCTTCTCTTGGCGCAGCTGCCAGCATTCACCTGTACAAGCTTCCAGCTTGTTTATCTATGTCTGTAGCTCGGTTTTTCAGGCTGCTCTTTGTTAGAAAAGAAATGATTTGGGGGCTACTTTTATTAAAAGGGAAGCCTTGCCGAAGACTCCTTGTACTGACACTATCTGCCTAATAATTTCTTTCTAGCTCCTATATCAATAATAAAAATGGTACCTCCCTCATAGGAATGTTGGGAGGATAATAAGTTAATGTAGAGAAAGTACTTAGAGCGTTGCCTGGCTCTTAGGAAGCACTGTGTATGTTACCTAGCAATAGTAGGCATATTACTAGGTGCCACAGGCCTTTTGAATTGCTCATCAGGAGACTAGAACGGCATCTCCCTGTTGGATTCCAGCTGAGCATCAGTTACTGGTGGAAGGGGGAAAGGTCTATATTTAACAACTTAACCCAATAGGAACATCTGTCCAAAGAATCAAAGGCCATCAAAAGGAATGCAGGAGCTACACATGCTGTTATTTTGTCTGACAGATTTTTTCACAAGGTAATACTTGTAGCACATAGCAAGGGTCTGTGATGGAGCAGCTACAGCCGTGCCCTCTGGCTCCTCATGTGGAATGTGAGCTGAGAGGCCCAGTGTCCTTTATCTCCTGGGATCTTAAAGCAGATAGGAGAGGCACAAATGGAATGAACATTCTATATCCTTCCAAGCAAGAGACCAAGCTCATGAGGGTAAAAGCAACTTAATAAGGACCCATGCCCATCTATTACATCAGTCCATAAATCATTCTGATGGCAGGATGTTATCACTGAGGGCTTTAGTTTAACTTGAAAAAAATAAAAATTTGTGGTTCTGAGAGAGGCGGTGTTTGTGCAGAATCACAAAGGATCTGCTAGGTATGAAGCTTAAAGCATTTCCCTGGAATAAGGAGAGGAAATAAATAAGCCATAAAGCATCTCTTGGGCTCTGAGCTTTCAGGATCTGATAGAAAGCTAGACCTCTTGGTTAATTCCAAACCAGACTCCACCTGCTTTCCCAGTCTGAAGGCCACACCCATCATTCTCCCTGGTTTATGAGGTCTCTTTGGTGG
This sequence comes from Homo sapiens, assembly GCF_000001405.40. Classification (NCBI taxonomy): domain Eukaryota; kingdom Metazoa; phylum Chordata; class Mammalia; order Primates; family Hominidae; genus Homo; species Homo sapiens. The sequence goes on from NC_000020.11 coordinate 9,330,263, forward strand.
TAGTCACGCATAATGTGATTTAAATTGAATGAGATCCTTTATGGCCTCTTCCTCAGACTCCTCTTTGTTTCTCTCCAACCTTGACAAGGTCTTTTTAACTTCCTCTCCATTCTTATCAAACCAGGAAGCAAGGAGGGTGAGTCTCATATGTACCTAGTGGAGTCTACCTAGGCAGTGTTCGTTTATTGACCGTCCAACAATCTTCTGGCGATAGGCAGAGGGGCCCTGCTTGGTCAAGTTTGCCCAAGTCAGACAGGCATGGGCTTTGGAATCAGAGAAGCTGGCTTGAATTTCAGGTTTGTTACTATTTGACTGTGGCTTTGAATAATTTAGTCTCCTCTGAACCTTTTTCCCCCCTTCTCTCTGAAACCGCATTGGCCAATATGGTAACCACTAACCACATTGTGGCTGTTTAAATGAAAAATTAATTAAAATAAAAAATTCAGCACTTGGTTGCATTACCCACATTTCAAGTGCTCCCTGTGGCTCATGGTGAACGTATTGGGCAGAACCCATCTGGCACATTTCCATCATCACGGTAAATCCGTTGGACAATGTTGATCTAGTCTAAAACCTTGCAGAGTTATCATGAGATTTATGTGAGATAGTATTTGTGAAATACCTCACAACAAGAGCCCTAAAATTGTAGCTATTTTCTCATAAGTACGACCATTTAGTCAGCATTTACTTTGTCCCAGGTACTTAGACATTCTCAATATTAATTCTTTGAAAGCCCTGTGAGTCGGTATCAGTTTTCCCAGTTTACAGCTAGGAAAAGTGAAATATGGCAAGGTTAAGCAGAATAACTGCAAGATTCTCCAGCAGTTGCCTGGTGAGGAGGCTGACATGCAAACCCAGGAACCAACCACTACAAGGCCTGGATCTCAAAACCACTGTGGACTGCCACCTCTTCTGAAGGTTTTCTTTCCCAGAAAACGCAGTTTTGTGATGGAATGTGAATGCCTACTCCATTTCACATTTCTCTACGTCCTAATGTATCTGTCCAGTGACAAACACAGAAAAGCCCCTGGCCAACTCATGTTTAAATAAGGTAGAGTTAAAGCTTTTATGATCTGGTCCAAAATAGCTGTCCCTAGCTGGTAATAAGACTTGACTATGCCCTATTTGAAGATGCCAACTCCACAGTATAAGATACAGACATTTGCAGTTAACTTAGGAAGTGATGGCGAGAGAGAGGGCAAGAGAGAAAGGGTAAGAAATAACTACAACTCACAATTAAAATAAAATCAGCTACCACTTAGCTGTATCCCCATCCAAGGAATTTCTCCACTTCAATCAGAGTATTTGGCCTGCTGAACTCTCTGACATTCCTTATGAGGGGATTAAACTTTATTGAACAGAATCACTTTAAAAATTGAAATAAAGGAAAAATGTTTAATGTTAGTTGATTTGAAAGTAACTTGAATCTTTGAAAAATAGGTTGTGATATTGATTAATGTTGAAACAGCATGTGTGAGGGAAAATATACTAAAAATAACACACAAGTGAAAAACATACTCTATCTTTGATAAGAGAGGGAAGTGTCTCTGTAAGCCTGTAGTGGCACAAACCCCTCAGAGTGGGGATCTCTGAGCCAGAAATAGCTTCTAGCAATGGTGATCTCCAGCAAAAGTGATTCTAGACTCTCAAACAGAATGCCCTCTGGCCTCTGCTTAAGTAGTTTCACAAAAGGTGTTCCTGTCCCTTTCTAGCCTTGCTCTCTAGTGGCCTAAGAGTTGGGCTGGATGAGCTAACGTGTCCTTGAGCTCTAAGGCGTGACTGATGAATTTTAACTAATATGAGAATTAAAATTCTGCCCACCCCCCAAGGAAGTTCTCTTATGGTTTGTTTCTTTACCAGAAAATTCTGTTACCATTTAACTGCAAAACAAATAGATTCCCAAAGGAGAAACATTCCAGCTTTCTTTTATGATCTCCCCTGCAGGGCCCAGATCTGGAGGAGGATTTTTCTGACAATGGGACTTCACAATAGCCTGGCCTCAATCTGGTCAGGGAGCCATAGCCCACTTTCAGGTCAGGAGGGATTCATGTGAAATTTAAAACTGCTGTTAGGGAAAAAAGAATAGACATGATGTGTCTTTACTCACCAGAGGGTAGGGTTATTATGTTTGTTAGTAGGAGGTGGTGAGAAACCAAATTAGATTGTGTTTTAGTTCCTTTCAGCTGATTACCTCTCATCCCTCAGATTTGCTCTGTGAATTTTCATGGGTGGTTTGAAGCATTTGGTCCAAGAACCTTTCAGCCACAGTTGATGAGCTGATTGTGGGTTTTGTCGTGAGCCTGGTCTTTAGTGTCAGCTGGGTTTCATTCTAAGATCCCCCTGGAGAATTTCTATTCTGATAATTGCTTCTCTTAACAACTGATACGTTTTTATTTTATGAGCTGGATGGGCACCTGGTAAATATTTTTTTTCCCTTTTTTGCTTTTGTTGCTGGGGAGCCCAGAGCCAAGTTGCTATCCTGCTATAACTGTGTAGGACCTTATGACAGGCATTTCAGAGAGCTGCCTTTTACTCTGGCCTTAGTTTACTATTCCACTTTATTTTTCTTCTCTTTGCCCAGATTTCTCATCCTATTTTGAAAATGATTTCTTCACAGTGTCAAACAGTGCTCCTGGTTCAATAGGAATTCCCAGGACGTGCCTCAAAGTCACCCCCAACCTCGAAGATGAGTTTGTATGCATTACAAAAAGGGACTCCTGCCTTTAGGCAGACGGCCTCAACCAGTGCCCTTGTAATTGCACTTCTATCCTTGGCAGTCTTCCAAGGACTTCCTTGTTGGGTTCTGGGCCTGATGCAGCCCCCTCAATTTGAGCAACTTCTTGTTTATTTGTTTTACATATTGGCCTGCTGCAAAATCTTTTATTTAAAAAAATTCATTTTTTCATTTATTTTTAAGTTAATTTGTTAGTTTTATGGTGCTTTTGATGTGCTAGGTGCTAGAACACAAAGGTAAACAAGACTGCTTCAAGGACTCTGCCCTCTTGGAGGTTGTTGCATTCTGGTGTGGGAGTCAGTCAGTAAATCAAGGATCAGGGAGAGCCTCTCTGAGGAGGGGATAATGAAGACAAGGTCTGTAGAATGAAGAGGAGCCTGATGCACCAAGGGCAGTAGAAAGAGACTTCTGAGCAAGAGGAACTGCAAGTGCAAAGGCCCTGATGCTAGAGAGAGCTTGAGGGGTTGCAGGAAAAGAGTTTTTATGGTTGTGAACAAGAAATAGAAGGAAGAACAGAGAGTGGCATGAGATAAAATTTGAAGGATCCCAGATCGTTCAGGACCTTTTCGGCCAGGTAAGGAGTTGGGATTTTATCCTAAATATGATAGGAATCCATTGAATGGTTTTAATAAATTCATTCAAAGTTTAAAGAATCAATCTGGCTCCTATGGGCAGCAGAAAAAGCAGAAGTGAGAAGATCAATCCATGGGAGAGATAATATTGGTTTGGGCCAAGGTGGGTGGTGATGGAGAGGGAGTAAAGTGGGTGTGTATTCGAAATATTATAGAAGAAGACTTGCTACTGAAAGTGAGAGGAAAAGATGAGGGAAAATTAAGGATGACTCTTAGTTTCAATAAGTGACCAGATGCTAGTGACATTTATGGAACTAAGGAAGTACTGTGATGGAGAAACTTGGAGGGGAGAGAATAAAGAGTTCAGTTATGGACATACTTATTTCAAGACATCCTAGTGGAGATGTCAAATAGCAAATATTTGAACTCACAGAGGAGAGGATGGGGCTGCTCTTACAAATTTGAGGGTCATCAGGAAATAGATGATATTGTAGACACAAGATTGAATGAAATCTAGGAACACAGTGGAAATGAGAATTCCCAGAACCAAGTCCTGAGGACTATGTAAAAGTTGAGTACAGAAGGAAAAGGCGGGAAATTAGACTAAGGTAATGGAGCACAACCAGGATTGGAGAGTGTTTCAAGAAGGAAGGAATAATCAAACTCTCAGAGATCAACTCAGGTGAGGAAAGGAAGGTGTGCACTCCTATTTTGCAGCATGCTGGACTGGCCAGAGAAGTTTTAGAGGGTGATAGAAATGGAAGCCAGATAGAGTTGCTCAGATGGTATGAAGAGAGGTAATGGAAACAGTGAATATTTCTAAGATATTATGTCCTGAAGAGGATCAGGGACATGGGGTAGTAAGTGGGGTAGTAAGTAACCATTGAGAAGGAAATATAAGATTAAACGTCACTGTTGACTATCCATTTGAGGTTTATAATCTTGAATTTAAACTAAAGCCAGACAGTTCCATTTTGTGATTTTCACCACCAAGTTTGGTGATAAAGTATGCATAAAATAGACTTCGTTTTTTGGCCAAGAAAACACTAAATGAGACATGGAAGTTGCGAACCACCTGTGAGGGAGTGATTGCAATATTGGGCTGCTTTGGAAATAAGCTAGATAAGGATGGAAGTAAAAGGAGGAGGGAACTGGTGCGTAGTGAGAGATTGGCAGGGATAATCAAAAGGGATATTTGACTTTGCAAAGAAGTCAAATATAGGAGGGGAGAACTGTAGAGCTAGGGGCTAGAAGGACCAGATGGAATTCCAAGAGTGAGATATTAGGAATTGAAATGTCCAGGTGGTAATGGCAAGCTCTAGGGGTACTCAGGGGGGAAGGAAGAAAAGAATTTTGTATTTAAGGAGGCCAAGGAAGTGAAAGTTCACTCTCAAAATAAGTTGGAAACCCATTCTTATTTATTATTTGTATTTCATGAATCATCTCAAATCCTTACTTGGAATTAGGTGATAGGGTGCACATAAGAATGATAGTGGCTGATTCTTTGTGGATCTACTCTGTAAACACCATTTTACGATGTACTTTTGTACACTGTGTACCAAAATTCTTCATTGCCGTCAGGATATTCATTGGGATATATTTGGAAATGGGCTAATTCTTATGTCTTGATTAGTTGATAATTCTCATTTTTTTAGTCAGTAACAACATAAGACCCGCCATGGCCTTTTGGGTAATAGCTAATGCTTTTCAGGTGGCACGGAAGACCCTTGCAATGAAACAACTCTTCTATACATGTCCCATCACACCCCCTGTCATTCTCTTGAAGTGCTCTAGCCACACAAACAAATTTCTAATGTGAGGTCAATAGCTGCTCACTCTGCCTGGCATGAAGATTCATCTAAAGTATCAACTTCTGGGTTAAGCCTTTTCTAAAAGGTTGAACTGTCCAAAAATGCCATTTTGAAGGGTCAAAAAATGTCATATACTGGCACTTTCATATTGTTAATAATTTGCTACCACTATTACAAGTCTGAACCATGCATTGTTGGTAGAGCTATTACTTGCTGAATTGGAATTCTGTGTTATGTGCTTTATGTTCACCATCTCATTTAATTCCAGCAATAAACCCAAAAGGTAGGTGGAACTACTTCCACTTGTTAGACAAGGATTCTGAAATTTAGAAAGGGTCTTTCTGGGAGAGAGTACATAACAAATGGTGGAACTGGGTTTTAACTCCTAAAGCAAAAATTATACCATGCCCTTTCCTTTGGTCTTATTCATGGCAATGACAGCAGTACAGAGCACACGCCTGATACAGAGTTGGAATACATAAATACATACAGTAATACTTCATCTGCCAGAAAACTACCCAAATTGAAGGCTGCTTTGTTCAGGGACCCCTAGGACTACTTTATGATGGCCTAGTATCTTGGCATTGGATTTACCTTGATAAATGTTGTTGTTCCCCTGTAATTTAGAAAGATAAATTTTAACAGGTGAAACTAAGAGTCTGAACGGCCCTTAAAACCTTAATCCTGTAATTACTATTTATTTGTTTTAAGGCACTGCCTTGATCCATGTTTGCCAGACAGGTTCCTAATTGCTGGCATTGAAATGATCTAGGAAGCCAGTTTCTTCAGCTCATGAAAAGAACATGTAGATTTGTTGAAGTGTGAATGCTAAGTATTGGTGTAATGCAGTCAGAGGGCACAGGACATCTATGTTCATTTCCCAAATGCCCTTTTTCTTTCATTCACATGGATTTTTCCTCTCATTCCTAAGCACAGTGGTGCTCTAATAAGACAAGAAGTCAGTTGGCAAGTGTAACACAGATGCTCTGATGCCTTGAATTTGGCTAATATTGCTTCTTCATTCAAACGTCATTCTGTAGCTTTCCCTGAGTTTCTGGTGTCAAAATTCAAAGCAATGGTTGTCAAACTTTCGTGTGTGTTCGAATCTTCTAGAGGGCTTGTTGGAACACAGATTGCTGGGTCACATCCCCCCAGACTCTGACTCAGTCCATCTGGACTGGGGCCTCATATTCTGCAATTCAGTAAAGCTCCCAGCTGATGTTGATGCTGCTGGTCTAGTGACTACACTTTAGCTCTAGGGGCTGTTCAAGATGCGCTTTACAGGACACCAAATGAGGTTAGATAAAAAAGCAAAAATCTCAGCAAATATCTGAATGCTAGATTTTACAGACAAAAAAAAAAAAGAAAAAAAACACAAAACAAAAACCAGTGACTTAAAAAATAATGTATCTCCTGATTTTTGACATCAGTGGGCTAGAACTTGGGAATCCTTCTTCCAAGATATTAAGGAAACTTTCTTCTCTATGACTTTCATGCTTTCAGTCAGTATGCTTTGTTCTTAAACCTATCCTAGAGCAAGATGTTTTATTAAATTGATCAGTTTTACAATACAAAATTGAAAGCAAAGAGTTTTCAAAATGAAAACATTCCATAATACAATAAGAATTGTGGATATTACATACAAAAGAGTGATTTCTAATTTGTTTAGAAGCTCAGCAATATTTTCATTTTTATTAGATTCAAAATGGTGTGAGTCATGAAGATCAACACATTTCTTTTTGACAGGAATCCTTTGTGTTTGAACCCAACTGCCTCTTCAAAGTGGATGAGTTTGGCTTCTTTCTGACATGGAGAAGTGAAGGCAAGGTATGGCCCAAGAAGAGCAAGTTGTTCTTTCTGCTTTGTGGTTTAAGCCATTTTGTTTCTCAACAAGTAGACTGAGTGCTGTTGATGAACCCTACCCTTATTCATTCATTCAAGATTTTTAAAAATGTGCCTACATGTGCCAGGCATTGAAGTATACAGTGATGATTAAGGACATTATCCTCATAGATTCCAGTCTAGGAGCAATGTCAGGCATTAAAAAATAAGTTACAAGTCATTGAATGTTGTGAAAGAGAACACTGGATTGTCAAAGAGCTTAATTTAATCTTGGGAGTTAGAAAGAAATCTGCCAGAAGAAGAGATGCTCAAGCTGAAATCTAAAAGGTACATTAAAAGTGTGTTCATCTCATTATACCCTGGGACTTAATTCGATGTATGGTACAGTGTCCACATTTAATGAACAATTGAGCTGAATTTAAGAAAAGAATTAAAGTTATATAAAAATTAGCATTTTTCTCACATTTCATGTACACACATGTATTTAATGATTATTAACAATGTTTTATATATAAAAGTAACAGATTTTAGAAACATTTTTATATTCAGCATTGCACATATATATGTCTATATGTATGTATATATATATATGTGAAATGGAATACTTGGGGTCTTGATTATTTCTGATTATTTACAATAATTATTGTTACATGGTTTTAATTCCCTCTTCAAGCTGACTGTAATCAGCACTGCCTTCATCATCAGAAATTTTTGCCAAGCAGTTTGCCTGTATCATAGGTATGGCATAATTTAAGCTCATTGCTGTGTTGTATTCTCTCTCTTCAGGAAGGACAGGTGCTAGAATGCTCCCTCATCAACAGTATTCGGTCGGGAGCCATACCAAAGGTACCTGTGATTGGTATTTGCTTTTCTAAACACGGATTTACTTATATTGGAAATGGCCATGGCTTCTAGAGATAAAAAACTCACTCTTTGTATCCAGGCTACTTAAAACATTTGATCTCAGTTTTGAGAATAGCATGTGGTTGCTGGTTGTGGTAATGTCACATTTATTCACATGAAACCTCTGTGACTCTCCTCTGGTGAGAGAGAGGCTTTGTGGACAAGCAGACCCTAATAAAAGGCTCTTCTATCCAATTGCCATATTCCAGGTCCTCCAATAACTACAATCAAAACTCTAAACAAAGACCCTCATATCTAGTTTCTAAATCAAAAATTTAGGCCAGACACAGTGGCTCACACCTCCCAGCACTGTGGGAGGCAGAGGGAGGCAGATCCCTTGAGCCCAGGAGTTTGAGACCAGCCTGGGCAACATAGTGCAACCCTGTCTCTACAAAAATTACAAAAATTAGGGTGTGTTAGCATGTGCCTGTAGTCTCAACTACTCAGGAGGCTGCGGTGGGAGGATCCATTGAGCCTGGGAGGCAGATGTTGCAGTGAGCTGAGAATGCACCACTGTTCACCAGCCTGGGTGACAGAGCAGAGACTCTGTACCTCCCCCAACCAAAAAATTTGTAATACCTTTCTTATCAGTTGATTTCAAGGAATATATAGTGTTACAAATTTCACCTCTACAGGTTTTAGAATAATGCTAGGTGTCTGGGCCCTTATGTTTATTTTTACATTAAATGTGGTTTCTTTTTACCACGTTTCTTCCTCCATGCTCTGTGATGTAACTTATTTTTTTTTCTATCTGTGTACCTCTATACAGGATCCCAAAATCTTGGCTGCTCTTGAAGCTGTTGGAAAATCAGAAAATGATCTGGAAGGGCGGATAGTTTGTGTCTGCAGTGGCACAGATCTAGTGAACATTAGTTTTACCTACATGGTGGCTGAAAATCCAGAAGTAACTAAGGTAGCTTCAGTTAAATGGCCTCCTTCTCTTCCCCACCATGTATATATGTTGTGTGTTTAATTTTATGCGTGCTATATTTTTATATACTTAAATTGTATGGTAATTTAAAAGTTAGCATTGCTTTGCTGACATGTTTCTGTAGAAAATCAGCAATTAAAATACCCTTTTAGCATGTCACTCCTGTGGGCCAACAACCCAAATACCTACTACGATATGTTGTAGGGATACTAGTCCAGCACTTCTCCAACTTGAGTGTATACCAGAATCCCCTGAGCTCTTGTTAAAATGCAGATTCTGATTCAATAGGTCTGAGGTGGGGACAAGATTCTCCTTTTCTAACAAGCTCCCAGGTGGCATGGATACTACTCATCTGACAACTACAGTTTGAGTGACAAAGGTCTAGATCAGTACCACCCAGTAGAAATGCAATGTGAGCCACATATATAATTTAAATTGTTCTTGTAGCTGGGTTTTAAAAGTAAAAAGATACAGGTAAAATTAATTTTAATAAAATATTTTATTTAACCCAGTAGACCTAAAATATTGTCATTTTAATAGGAGATCAATATAAAATTTATTAGTGACATATTTTACATTCTTTTGCTCATACTAAGTCTTAGAAATCTGATGTGTATTTTCAAATCAGACTAACCACATTTTAGGTGTTCAGTAGCTGCATATGGCTAATGGCCACCATACTGGGTGGGCAGTACGGGTCTGGATGGTTAAGAAATCCAAACCCCCCCTCCCAATAAGTTATTAAAATATTGGGTTAAGATCAGTCTTTTAATACCATATCCAGCATACCATTGCCCTGGCAAGTGAGTCTCAAAGAGACTTCTCGAAGAAGTAGAAAGCCTCGTAAATATTTTGTCTGCTAATCATGTGTTTACAGGGTGATTTTACCTCTGTACAGAGCTCCCATTATCTTTCTGTAATGTGTGTGAAAAGGACTAAGCCTTCACTTTCCATGGCAGAAACATGGGTTTGGGGGAATGGGGAGGCATTTTGTCTTCTCATTAACCCTATAATTGGAAACTCAGTGTAGGTTGAATGAGAGAGGGTTCCAACAAGTGGAAACTCAGTGTAGGTTGAATTTCTAATATCATTAGAAATATTGAATTTTAGAGCTAACAGGAAATGTACAGGGAAGATCATTTGAGGACACTGAGATTACAAAACTTAACCATGAATCCAGGATAACTTATGGCAGAATTGAGTTCTGTTGACCCCTAAACCATCCAAGCTCCATTACCCTCACTCACAAAGTATGGTCCTCATTCCAGAAGTACAGACCCCTCCTGGGAGCTTGTTACACATTTGAGTCTCAGGCCCACCCAGATGTTCTGATCCTGAATCTTCATTTTTGACAAGATGCTCCAGGTGACTCGGATGTGTGGTGAAGTTTGAGAACTCCTGTTTTGTAGCTCTGGAGGCAGAAGTGGATGCTCGATGTCACATAAGAGTGTTTGGTTCTGTCCTTATTGTGGTGGTTTTATGCTATCGTTCAGGTCACCTCACTTTGGGAGAACAGATTTTGCAGTGCCTTCAAGTTCTTTTATTACTCTTCTGAGATCAACTCCTTCTCTAATTACCAATTCATATTACAAGAAACAGGATGATGCAGTATGAGCTCAAGTATTGGGGCTTTGGGGCCACATTGCCTGGGTTCAAATCCTTGCTCGTCCCCTTCCCAGCTATGTGAAGCAGATATACGCTGGACCTCTCTGTGCCTCATTTTCTTCATCTGTAAAATGGGAACAGTACTAGAATATCTGCTCTTAGGATGATTGTGAGGCTTACATGAGTTATGACGTGGGAAGCACTTTGTGTACTGCCTTTCTTATTGAAAGCCCTTAATATGTGTTAGCTATTAGGATGACAGAGGCCAAGAATTTTAGAGTTCGAAATGGACCTTAGGAAGGGCTTCTCACCTCATTTTTCAGATGAGAAAAATGAAGCTAGAGAGGTAAAGGAACTCTGAGACCACACAGCAAGCTGGGCCAGAGTCCAACCTAAAACCAGGTCTTCTCATGCCCTATATGCTGCACCCACTTTGCTCTGTGCCCTGAGCAAATACAGTCCTGGGGAGATGGCTCAAATCAGTAAATCCCATAATGTTTTTGCTTTCCATAATTTGGTTGCTGTTAGTCTTGGCCCATTCTAAGAACCACGTTCTGAAACATACCCTTGAGTAGATTATGGATGTGTACTGTTGGCCCTTGAACAATGTGGGGGTTAGAGCTACCATACCCCTGTGCAGTCGAAAATCCATGTATAACTTTTGACTCCCCCAAAACTTAATAGCCTACTGTTAACTGAAAGACTTATGATAATATTAACAGTCAATTCACATACTTTTTGTATGGTATATGTATTACCTATTGTATTCTTACAATAAAGTAAGCTAGAGAAAAAGCAAATGTTAATAAGAAAATCATAAGGAAGAAAAAATATATTATTCATGAATTGAAAGTGGATCATCATAAAAGTCTTTATCCTCATCATCCTCACGTTGAGTAAGCAGAGGAGGAAGAAGAGGAAGAGGTTGGTCTTGGTGTCTCAGGGGTGGCAGAGGTGGAGGAGGTGGAAGTGGAGTCAGGAGAGGCAGGCACATTGGTGTAACTTTTACTGAAAAAAAATCCATGTATAAGTGGGCCCACATAGTTCAAACCCATGTTGTTCCATGACCAGTGATATATGTTTGAGGGTTGGGGGTGGGGGGATGTATACTTCAAGGGAAGATTTGAAGGTTTTCTCCTAGTATTATTGCCATTGAAATTTAAGAGCAGCTAGCCAGTTAAGAACTAAAAAATAATTCTGTATTGGATTTTTTATTCAAACTCAATACTATTTGAGCCTGCTCTTACTGAAGAAACTAAGTGTTTCAGCTTCTGGGAACTATTACATCGAATTTCATTAATAGCATAATATATAAATAAATATAAATCTCATTGTCCAAACTGGACAGTGCATTGTCCTTTCGGTTGATTGACACTGGAGAAAATATTGAGTACATTTTTCCACCAAATATACCTGCATGTGGATACTCTTGCCCCCTTCCTTATCTCAAAACTTAAAATAACCATATTTACCACCTTCAGCATTGACAACATTTTCTCCATCACCACCGTTTTATTTCTATTCCTCTATATGTGTTTCTATTCCTAATAGAACACACAAGCCATCAAAGTGAAAGTCTTTATATGAAATACACATAGATATAATTACCTCAGTTCGAAATGATGGCAGGATACATAAATCAAATTGGGCCAATGAGAAATGTAGAGATTTCCCAGGGTACATGAAATAGTGTTTGTGACTCACTGAGTGGTTCTACTCAAACGTGAGTATAGCCTAGGAGCCTAGAATCAGGGGGCCATGAAATATACTAACAGCCCTCTTACTTAGCCCATGCAATGAGAAGGTGCATTTTTGGTCAGTTTATCACAAAAGTCAATTCGAGCAAGTAATCATTTTTTAAAATTAATTCATATATACCTTAAACACTGTAACTTAAGGCATATAAATGTTGTTCTATTGTTGACTAATCTTTTAATGTTAGGGACAAGCCTTTTCATTAATTGTGGATCTGTTGCGTGGCTTTTATGTTTTGGGGTTTTTTTTTTTTTTCCCCCTGTACTTTACTCTGAATGCCTCAGATAGCCAGTTTGGTTTCTTTAAGGTGGATCTGAGACTAAGGACACTCATTGGGCAGAGTGCAATGGAATGCAAAATCCTACAGTTCTGTGACTTTTTTCCCTAATCTTTTAGTTATCTTGTCTACATGGAATTTGAGAAAAATATTTTTGGCAACTTGCCTTTAAAGAAATCTTCCCAAAATATTCAGCTAGAGAAACAACAATGCCCTTTCTTTCCACAAGATCGTGTCATTGGTTTACGCAATTTTTATGACAACTGACAATAAATAGGTTTGAAAACAAAAGTAACCCATGGTAGACATGTAAGGTGAGAGTAAAAGAGTACAAAATATTGGAAAGTGGCTTGCTGGCTGGGAGAGTCCAGCACTCCCTGGGCAATCTGTGTATTTTGTTTGTCTTATAAACACCTGATGAGTCTTGGTCTGACAAGTGAAATGTAAGTTAAGTGAGTTTCTAGTACAGAACTTGCTTATGAGTATCCTATGAGATTCATGAGTCTTTTTTTTTTTAATTCCTAGGCTCTTATTACACTTAAGATCTGACCATTTGGAATAATTCACTTAACCCAACATTTAATCTAGGCAAAAGGGTAAACTTTGAACTTAGTGTCTTTTATACCAAGGACCATGTTCCATGTGGAGGAAGCTTTCCTGACTTTCAGCAAGCCATTTTCCCTTCTGTATTCTTCTACTTCTCAAAGAGGGTCTCTGATAGTTTTTTTTTCATATTCAAGTGGGTGCTTTAAGAGTCAATAAAATATTATCTGAAACCTGAGTTTCTCAGGGTTGAATTTTAAATAAATACAAAATACTTTCCAGTGCATATGACTCTGAAAATATGATTGTGCTTTTTTCAGTAAAAGATAACAGCATTGTTAAGAGACACCTTGGTAGCTCACCTTGTCTTTTCTTCAGCTTCTCTCTCTGCTTTGAGAGTAAATACGTTTGTGTTGCCACTCTTACCTATTTAGGAGATTTGTGCTCAGTTCTATATACCTTTCTCCTCTACCGGTAAGTCCCAAATCAAAGCTTTCAACTCTTCTCACCTGCTTCTCCCACAGTCATTTTCATCTCAACAAATGTGCTCTCAGTTGCAGAGACCATTCTCAGTTGCAGAGACCATGAACACCTTCCTCTTGTGTCCTATGTTAGTCTGTTCACAAATACTGTTTGCTCTACCCTCAGCAGGTATCCAGAATCCAGCTGCTCCTCACCAACGTCATCACGACACAGTGGCCCAGGCCAATGGTCCAGGCCAATATCATTTCTTCCCTATTGTGCCCCAAGAGGTATCTAACTGGTCTCTTTTCCTTAGCCTTGCCCATTTTGGTCTAGTCTAAAAACAGCAGCTGGAGGGATGTTTTTAAAATGTAATTCAGATCACATCACTCCACTGCTCAGAACCCTCCAAGGCCCTGCTAGATATCATCCCCACCTCCCTTCCCCTTTCTACCTTAATCTCTCTCTTTCCTCCTACGCATTTTCTTCCAGCCTCTGGGACTTGGCATTTGCTGTTCCTTCTGTCTGTATCGTGCTCTTTCCCAGTTACACACAGAGCTTTCTCCCCCACAGCCCTCACGTGTCTGCTGGAAAATTGTCTTAGCAGGAGCTCCCCATTTCACCAGCCTTCGGCACTTCCTCACTCCTTTTCCTGCTCTGTGTTTCTTCTTAGCACGACTTACTTACCATAATATCCATTTATTCATTTATTTTCTTCCTCTGTCTGCAGGACGGCACTGTTCTGTTCACTGCTGTATCTGCAACATCTAGAACTGTCAGTGCCCGACACTTAGTGAGTGCTCAATAAAAACCTATTCTATTGAGGTATTTATGTTGACTAAATGAATTCCAACCCAAGTGATAAAGGTGTATAAACCTTAATGTTGTGCAACTCAAGTTTGTACAGTTCAGTTGTTAGAACAGACAGGAAGATGATCCTTTGACAACAAGACTGAGAAAATGTGATTCAATGATAGTCTAAAGGAAAGACAGAACTCTGGGATCCCGTGTGTTATTTTTAGAGCCACATTTCAGGATGTAATAGCGCTGCTGCTAAGAATCCATGACGAGACTGGAGGTTTTGACCCTGGTGTCCTGGCCTCTTTCCAGTTTGGATCATTATGTCCTGCTTACCTAAATCCTTCCTGTCGTTACAGTTAGAGAATTTAGCTTTCATTTCCTCTCCTAAACAACTGCCTGTTAAAAAGAATTACTAACAAATTGCTGTCATATTTACCCCAAACCTAGTACACCTTTCGCTAATAGGCGAGTCTTATACATCATAAAGCTTAAAACAGTTAAGAATAAATGCAGCCTACTAAAAAAAAACAAAAACAAAAAATTTACCCAGTGTGATGGCAGATGCCTGTAATCCCAGCTACACCAGAGGCTGAGTCAGGAGAACTGCTTGAACCCAGGAGGTGGAGGTTGCAGTGAGCCGAGATTGCACCACTGCACTCCAGCCTGGGCGACAAGAGTGAAACTCCATCTCAAAAAAAGAATAAATACAGCCAAATGAAGGTATTTTCCCATTTTTTTCTAAACTGAAATAAAGCTCTTTTTTTTTTCCTGGAATCATTCTCATCTTTTTGCTCACTGTTTTACAAGGCACTATAGAAATAATTGAATATGAGCATTCTAATAAGTTAATTTCATTAGAAAAGCAACTTTAGTTCCTCTCATGTTTTCTTTTGTTTTTTCCTCGCTCAGAATACAACTAGCTTGGAAGGATTTTGGTGTCTAGCAAAGTTGAAGGCAGTTCAGATGTCTTTCATTAATAAGTTACAGCTGGCACTGCACAGCAAACTGAAATCACAGTCACTAGACGTAAGATGGAAATGCAGGCCTCATTCAACATCTCCATAAATAAATCTGTTATTCTATACCAAGTTGAATTTTCCTTTGATTACAAAAAATAAGCTGTTATTATGACGTTCAAAATGCAAATATTGGGATTGAGTTTAGACCAGACTGCTCATTATACTTTATGCAGGTTTGTAAATATTTGGCAAACTTCATAAATTATGCCTTGTAATCAAGTCATCAAATAAGCATGTAAATAACTACTATAGAAATTAAATTACAAAAATATTATGTATTCTTTTGTGTACAAAAAGATAAAGTCAGGTTATTTGTTACCAGTAATAAAATATTATTTTAACAAATTGGGCTGAAAGTCAAAATTGCTTTGCTAAACTTGAATTGTGTTGAGTGAAAGACTTACTGCAATGGTTCCAGAAGAAGGAATTTATTCTTTGTTTCACTAAAAAAAAAATTGATTCTCTATTTAAATTGAGTCCTCCTGGCTTTGCTAACATCCTGCAAAGCCTCCAAGCCCTGCAACCAGTTCCTCTACTGATATTTAACCACAGCATTACCCCAAGGGATCAGAGGCTTCAGCCTCGTCTGGGGACTTCTTAGAAAGGCTATTGCATTTCTTAAAATTCAGTTTTAATTATACTGTATAGGCCAGTGGCTCTCAATACCTGAGAACTTATTAGAGATGCAGATTCCCAGGCCCTGCCCCACCCTACTGAATCAGAAAGCTAGGATTTCAGCGGCCTTCCAAGTGATTCTTATGCACACTCAAGTTAGAGAATCACTGCTAAGCAGAAAAGCTCAATCACTAACATTTATATCCTGCTTTACTTGCAGAGGCCTTAAAGAACTTACATTAACTTAGTGGTCTGATGCCCAGGCTCAACTGAGCTGATGCCTGCTGAATACTAAAGCAGCTAAATTGTAAATCTGAACTGCCTATTGATCACCCAAACCCCAGTATACTAATTAATAAAAGCTTCTTCACCACATTGCTTCAACAGTTTTTGAGGCTCAAATGTGGGATGAGTGTGTAGGTCTCTGTGTTAATTTTTGTTTTGTTTTGGGTTTCTTTAACGTTTCCAAGACTGAAAGTTGACATTTTCTTGTTAATTGTTTTTCTTGAAGCTCTTCTGAGTTCATTGGAAACAAATCAATGAGGGGGGGCATTAAGCTGTCCGGAGTGCAGAGCTGTGAATCAGAACAAATAATTGAGTGCATATTCTTAAGTTTAAATGTCCCATCCCACCTAAGAGTTTTCTTTTTGCCAAATAAGGATAATGGGTTTTATTGTTATTTCTATTGCTGGGTTGAGTTTACGGACCACCAGTCTCTGCCTTACATGGGCTGTGGTCATCAGAGAATCTGTGGAGCTGGTGAAATCAGTCTCCTGGGGCCTCCCATGACCACCTTTTTCCTCTGTGGCTCCTTCTTCCTTGCCTGCCAGTTCTCATTTGCTCTTGCAAGACCATCTCTCCTAGCAGCTGCTACCTCAGTGTCTCATCCGTGATGGCGCTCTCTGAACTCTGAATTATTTATTTGTGCATCACCAAAAGTGATAGTTCCTTTAGACCAGATTTTGTGAACTCAGATGCCTGTGGGAGCCAGGGAAATGATGTGAATAGCTGAAAACATGTCAGGCAAAGACAAATACGGGAGGGTGTGGACTTTAGCAAGTTGGAGTGCACATACGCTGTTGAGGGGGGCACTTTCACTTATTTCCAGCTAGTTTTCCAACTACCAAAACATGGGCCTGAGGTTTCTAGATTGTTTTCATGTCCATTTAATACTAACGTGGATTTTTTACATGAAATCTCTTGATATTAAAATGTTGGCAACTCATTTTTTAAACATTGTGCAAAATGACAAACATGTCTGTGGATCATTTAGAACCATAGCTATAGACATCAGGCACCATGTAGCATTAACACACTTGCACTAAAGTGAATGCTAATATTGACTTATTGTGTTCACCTTATTGGCATTTTAAATGAAAGATACCTGTTTGTTCCTTTATTTCTTCATTCAGCTATTCATCCAGGAATATTTTTTTGATGAAACCTGAACTTGGACAAATCATTTCAATTATATTAATCTTTTTAATCCTCATTTGTTAAAGAAAGGAATTGCACCATGTGTCCTTTGAAGTCACTTTCTCTTATAAGACTTAAGGAAGGACTGGCTGGGCATGGTGGCTCACACCTGTAATCCCAGCAGTTTGGGAGGCTGAGGCAGGTGGATCATGAGGTCAAGAGATCGAGACCATCCTGGCTAACATGGTGAAACCCTGTCTCTACTAAATACAAAAATTAGCCAGGCGTGGTGGCCCATGCCTGTAGTTCCAGCTACTCAGGAGACTGAGGCAGGAGAATCGCTTGAACCCAAGAGGTGGAGGTTGTAGTGAGCCAAGATCACGCCACTGCACTCCAGCGTGGCAACAGAGTGAGACTCCATCTCAAAAACAAAACAAACAAACAAAAAAACTTAAGGAAGCACTCTCTTTGCAAAATAAAGTGTACCAGGAGCCAAGGATGGTCCAGGTTAGTTGCTTTGACAGGACACTTGTGTACACATGGAAATCCCTAGATAAGCTTAACCTGGACTACATCATCATGACACCAGGAGTCAGCTACTAGGATAGGAGGCTTTGTGGTTGGAGAGGTGACAGAAGTCATTCTGGGTACTTCCTGTGGACATTAAAGGTTGAGAGATCCTGAGATAGAATGCAAGAAAATCAGTTGTTCTCGGCTTCAATCAGTTACACAAGAAGGAAAGATCTGAGAAACATTCAGTGTGGAATCCAGAGGTTTTGTTCCTGGGTAAAGTTAGAGAAGCTAAAATAGAGACCAGATTCTGATTCTGATTAACTGGGAGTACGATGATACAGCTAATCAGAAATTGAGGGTCTGGTTACTTTGGATCAGGGAGAAAAAGGAACAATGAATTTGTTTAAATTTTTTTCTCTGAGGAACCTGTTAGTTGCATGACCTGCTATGGGTGATGCAATAGGACAGAGATCATATACTACTTAGGATCCTTAGGGGCTTGTCCATGGGGCGAGCTCTGTTCTGTCTCTGTGGCACATCTCTAGGCCTCTGAAATCCTGAAAAGGTCTACGTTTGTTTGTTTGTTTGTTTGTTTTTGAAACTCCCTACTTTCATAAGGAATTAAGTGTGGATTTTTAGCTGGCATTTTTCTTAGTGCTGGACTTACTTAAAAGCTCCTGGTCAAAATGATTCTTCAGGAACATGCAGCTGAAGCTAGAGGATATTTGCTGTTGTTTTCGGGGAATTTTGTCACCTGTATCAGTGAAGTTATTTCTTTGGATGAGAGTATCAAAGATGAAAGAGGCCTCAAGCCTCCGCTTAGCTCCCAGGTTCTCTGCAGCTGCACTGACCATGTTGACAAGGTCATTTAAACATTTGCATGGACAGTGTGTTTTTATACTGTTGACTGGTATTTCCTGAATGCTAAAGGAATGTTGCTCATGATAGAGGATGTAGTTGCATGACATTCTATGCAGAAAGTACAGGATAGTAAAAAAAAAAAAAGAAAAGAAAAGAAAAAGAAACTAAAAATCCCCTAGAGTGTATTTCCCCTTCTGTGTCTTTTCTTAATTCAAGTGAAATTTATGTAACATAAAATTAACCATTTTAAAGTGAACAATTCAGTGCCATTTAGTACATTCACCATGTTGAGCAAGCACCACTTCTACCTACTTTCAAAACATTTTCATCACCCTCAAAGGAAACTGCATGCCCAATAAGCGGGTTCCTCCCCATCCCCTCTCCCCACAGCGCTGATAACCACTCTAATGAGTCTTTTTATTCCCCACACACTTTCCTTTTTATATGCAGTTGGACTCATGCTGTTTAATATACTGCATTTTATTATATGAATTTTCCTGTTTAAATTAAAACTTTTTCTTAGGTTTCAATGTAACCGCAAATCCCCATGATCTGTGAGGTGGATTTTCATGGGCGCTCAGCTCTTGCTGTTTTAGAAATCATCCAGCCTCCTTCACAGTTGTGTTTGAAATGCTGTGCTCTTCATGGGGCACATGGTTTTCAGTGCTGGAGCCTTTCTCACCACTGCATTTCATGAACTTGACAGGTTTCATAAGAAGAGACTGTAGACCCAGCCCAGAGAAGCTCATTTTGTCCTAGTTGCAAGTGTTATCAAATGACTCCACCAAGGGAATGCAAAATGAATTACTCTAATTGCACTAGAAGCATAATGTGAAGTTTGTATTTCACCTTTTGGCCCCTGGGAGAGAAAAATGTCACTGACTTTAAATTGCTTTTCCATTTTCCACATAGCCCCAGTTTCCAGTGCCAGCAAAAAATTGCCATTGGAAACATAATGTATGCTGACATGGGCCTACATGTATTTGTATGTTTTCTCATCTGTGTGGCAAAATTAAAAACTGGATGGCATGAAGAAGTGGGCAGAATCCCTTGTATTACATGAGACTTTGTTGCCTCCAAGCTCTATGATCTGGAGCCAGTAATTTAATGATCATAATCTGGGGTCGGCAGGTGCAGGCCATGGGCTGAACACAACCCTTAGCCTAATTTTGTATGTCCTGTGAACTAAGAATGGCTTTTACATTTTTGAAGCGATGTTTAAAAAATAAATTTAAAAAAAAAACAGGAAAACTAGACAACATGGAACTATGTGTGCCCCTGAAGCCTAAAATATTTATTATCTGGCTCTTAATGGAAAAGATTTGCTGGTCTCTAATAATAATACTAATAATAGTAGCAGCAGCAGCAGGAAAATAGTTTATATTGTATGTCAGACACTGTTCAAAGTGCTTGATATGTATTATCTCATTTAACTCTCACAAGTCTGTGGGATAGGTATTATGATTATCCTCATTTTACAAATAAAGATGCCCAGAGAGGTTGAGTAACTTGACTTTTCAAGGCCATACGTCCAGTAAGTGGTGTTTTGAGCCCAGGCAGTGGCTCTCTCTAGTGCTCTAGATCCTGAATTCTACCACCACCCTGTGCTGCAATTCACAGTTGGCTTCTTTTTCTTTTTCTCTTTTTTTTTCTGAGGCAGAGTCTCACTCTGTCCCCCAAGGCTGTAATACAGTGGTGTGTTCTCAGCTCACCACAACCTCTGCCTCCCGGGTTCAAGTTATTCTTGTGCCTTGGCCTCCCAAGTACCTGGGATTACAGGTGCATGCCACCACGCCCAGCTAATTATTGTATTTTTAGTAGAGACCGGGTTTCACCATGTTGACCAGGCTGGTCTCAAACTCCTGGCCTCAAGTGATCCACCCACCTCGGCCTCCCAAAGTGTTGGGTTACAGGCGTGAGCCACCGTGCACAGCCAGTTGGCTGATTTAGCTTATCTGTATAAAAACTGGGGCAGGGAGTGGGGGGAACAGCCTCTTTCACCTGTAACACTGTGTGATGTTAATGTACTTTTTAGGCAAATGTTTTAAGATCATTATCTGTGGGAGCTATAGTCATACAGTAGTACTTCCCGAATTAGTGGCCTGAAAAAAGGATTCCTTAAAAAAGTCCACATATAAAGGGGGTTCTTTGGTCAGCTAAGCATGAGAAAGCCTTTAGACAGGTTTCTTTATGGTAGTGCTTTCAGAAGAAGTATTTCTTTTTTTTTTTTTTGGAGGAGCTGGGTCTCAGATATATTTGAGTCTTAGTGCTTTACTCTTTTTTTTTAAGTTTTAGGGTACATATGCACAACGTGCAGGTTAGTTACATATGTATACATGTGCCATGTTGGTGTGCTGCACCCATCAACAGAAGAAGTATTATTCTTATGTGGATCTCAGCAAGGAAGAAAGCTATTCAGCTGTTTCCTAAACTTTTTTTTTAATTTTTTGATGAGACACCATTAACATCTTTCAGAACCAGTGTGGCACTGAATAAAAGTCAGTAAATTATATCATAGAGGCATTATTCAGCTCAATATTTTTCTAGAAGTATCAAAACAATGATGTAATCTAAGGATTCATTTATTCATATTTACCATAAATATTCTATTTATTTTCCCTGTTTTTCCACTTCCACTTGTCTTCACTCCTCACTGTTTTCTGCTGTGTGTGGGGAGACTTTACCTTAAAAGACAGAGAACCAGGTAATGAAACTCAAGCCCACCGATTTAGATTCCTTTTAGTAGCTCTTATATTGAAAGTCCTATTTAGTTTATAGAATTACCTATAGATTTGATTTGCTTGAACTAAATTGGTGGATGCTGCCTAGTTAAGAGTTAGACAAAGGCTTCTTGATTGATTATATTGATCTCAGACTAAGCAGGTATGATTGTCATCAAGTTGAAATACTATTTACTTTGGCATGACTTAATTTGCCAACATTGTCAACAGGTACCTGTCAGGAAGAATGTGACCGATAAATACAGGCCATCAACTAAAGAAACAACTCTATGAACACCTTTTAATTCACCAGCTGTTTACTCATCCCATACCAACAGAATTTCACAAATTTGACTGAGTTGAGTCCAAAAGTAATGCTGTCAAAAAACTGATGGTTGCTGACTGGCTTAAGATGATGCTTTTGGTTTTCTCAACATTTTAAAATCCCTCCATTCTTCTAGAGCTTTCCATTTGGATGCCAAATAATGTTACATAAAATAAACCAAAAATCTTATTTTATTTTTGAAAGATTTCTGGGGATGTAGGAATGTAGTTGGTCTGTGGACTTTCAGGCACTAAAGAACATCATGTGTTGTATATCTAAATCAGAAGCACAAGTGAATATAGGCATTAATGTAAGTATACTCTATGTATACATTTTTCCCTCCTGATCTTTTGTGTCCATAACAGTATATTTATTGTAGTAGATATTTGGAAATAGATGCAGTTATTTGTGACAAGATTCTATAGATCCAATAGGACATTGCTACAGGGTATCTATTAATATATAGAATCAGGCTTAGGCAATGCAAAAATTGTGTCTAAGGAATGCTAACAAAGCCATTTGGTATGGAAGTTTGGGACTGCAGCTTCTGAACAGCACAGGTGTCCTCTTTTTTCTTGTGACTATTTAGAGGCTCTTTTTGACCTAACTGGCCAGTGTTGTCAAGATAACCAGCAAGGCTGATAGACTGTTTTGACTCTCTGGGAGTGACTAAATTAATTTTGTCTAGGAATGTATAAATATTATCCTCACCCATTCAATTATCTCTTTCAAACATAGCCACCCATACTCATAGATGGCAGCTTATTTCTTGCACAAATACTCATTCACCATGCTCTGAGGGTAATTTAAGAATCATATGATTTAATTTTGTCTAGGAATGTATAAATATTATCCTCACCCATTCAGTTCTATCTTTCAAATACAGCCTCCCATGCTAATAGATGGCAGCTTCTTTTTTGCTCACATACTCATTCAGCATGCTCTGAGGGTGATTTAAAAATCATATGACACTTAATATATTTCTTCTTTCACTTTCATCAATTTTACTCTGTAGCTTCAGACTGTCAAGAAAAAGAGGCCCCAGTTGCTCTCTTTTTCCCCCTTTCAATTCTTCTCTTTTAGAATTTGAAAACTTTATGAGGATTATTATTGACTTCCCAAGGGCTTTTGAAATTAATGTTGGGTTGTCTTTTTAATTTTTGTGGGGGCAAAAGTCCTGTTGCTTTTTAGCCACCAGTTTCAGAAGTAGGTTGCTGTCAGTCATTATCACAGGCTCACTGATGTAGCTTTCTATCCTGGGTTTATCAACTGGACTTGTGTAGGATGGCAGCTTAGCTCCTTTATTATGCAGGAAAGTCTTCACTGTCTTTTTTCTTGCACTCATCTTTCTTGCAGCAACAGTTCATGGTGAATTGCCCTCTTGTCCCATGGGCATGTGGGCGTTTCCAACACTGACATTGATATCTTGTGACACTAACACTTAGTACCTGCACTTGTCTGTCCTTGGTGGAGCCAGGAGAAATCAGCTGACATGAAAGAGAGAACTTGTTTAATTTTTACTTCTTAACATGATTTAGAAGTTGGTCTGTTATACAAACAAACATTAGTGGTTTTGTTCCTTTTTAATTTTAGGCTGGATTTAGTGTCCTAGATGAATACCTTTGAAAGATAAAATGTTCATTTGTCAAGTCCTGCCTGTACCATCAGCTTCTCCACTCTCCACCTCTGCCACTGGGGTTTTATAATTCCCAGGCCTCAGACCTGGACCAAATGCTGTGGGAATGGGGACTCAGGCTTTGGGAACGCTGGCCCTTAGCCTCTGGCTCCTCCTGCTGCTCTGCTGGCTCTGGCCTTGGTCCTTAGGTCTGGACTGGACAGTTGGTGGCCCAAGTCATGTTCTGATATACCCCAATTTTAAGAAGTAGACCTCTGTCTGGTTTCTGTACTGGCCCAAGTCATGTTCTGATCATGTACCCCAATTCTAAAAAGTAGACCTGTGTCTGGTTTCTGTACTGAATCATCTGGTAAGAGTTATCCCAAGAAGCCCAGATCTTCCAGACCAGAACTATCTCAAGCAGGAGGAGCTGTAACTTCCAACAGTCTTCCTCTGGGCCAGCTCCCTGCTGCCTGATGAGATCCTGGAAATCACCAGCTCCTGAATTTCCTGTGGCTGTGAAATATCCTCTTACCCAACCTCCCTGCAGCTGCCTGCATTGCTTTTATGTTGCCTGTAACTTTCTTTCAAATACTTCAACACATGCAGTGGGGTGTGTGTGAATTTTCATCCAAAACCAGGGAATGAGAATTTAAAATTTTAAATGCTCACCCTAAAGGTAGTTAGTTAGCGTTTGAAAAATTTGAATCAAAGCTTAAAGATCAATCATTATATATAAATTATAGCTCAATAAAATTAATTCAAAATAAAATAAAACAAGCCTACCCTCCAGTGGCCACCTACACACCCCCTTCAGTTAATTTTCTCTCTCATTAGCACCAGGTGCTCTGATACTAGCCTCCTGGAGTGGTTTCTACATGATAGACACCTGGAGGCTTGTTAAAATGCAGATTACTGGGCCCTGCCCCCAAGTTGCTGATTCTGTAGATTTGGGATAGGGCCTGAGAATGGGCACTTCCGGTAAATTCCTATGAGATGCTCAACCCGCTGATCAAGGGAACCACACTTGAGAACCTCTGGCATAATGCAGACTGGAACTACCTTTTCTTTGGTGGAGTTCTTCATGGTATTCAAGATATGCAATTTGTGTAGAAATAAGGTACAAGCCCTGGTATCCTTGTGAGCCTAGGGCACAGGAATCTGGCAAGCCCAAATGCCTGCCTGGTATCTGTTGGAAGCTTGTTAGAAATGCAGAATCTCAGTGCAGATGCCAGGCTTACTAAATCCAACTCTGTGGTTCACAAATGCCCCCAGGTGATCCAAATGCACATTAAAGTTTGAGAAACACCTGCCCAAACCAAATTTAGTTCACATCATCTAGTTCAATTGTCCTCAACTATAGGTTCACGTTAGAGTTACCTGCAGTGTTTAAAAAAGCAGATTGAAAGACAGCCCAAGTACATTCTAATTATTAGTTAGAATCTCTAGGGTGAGACCCAGGCTTCTGAAATGTCTTATAATTCCCCCAGGTGATTCTAATGTACCACAGGTGCTGGGAACTACCAGTCTAGTCTCTCTAAGTGCTATCCGCATAGTTCTTTTAACAGTGTACTAGCTGGAAATGTCTTCCCTTTAGCCTGCCCTCAAAGTTAAATACTGACAATTTAATGCCAACTAAACCTTCTCCTAATTCAAATGAAATGATTTCATTTGCCATGCTTTTTAAAATTTTTTTATTTTTTATATTTTGTATTATTATTATTATTATACTTCACGTTTTAGGGTACATGTGCACAATGTGCAGGTTAGTTACATATGTATACATGTACCATGCTGGTGTGCTGCACCCATTAACTCGTCATTTAGCATTAGGTATATCTCCTAATGCTGTCCCTCCCCCATCCCCTGACCCCACAACAGTCCCCAGAGTGTGATGTCCCCCTTCCTGTGTCCATGTGTTCTCATTGTTCAATTCCCATCTATGAGTGAGAACATTCGGTGTTTGGTTTTTTTTGTCCTTGTGATAGTTTACTGAGAATGATGATTTCCAATTTCATCCATGTCCCTACAAAGGACATGAACTCATCATTTTTTATGGCTGCATAGTATTCCATGGTGTATATGTGCCACATTTTCTTAATCCAGTCTATCATTGTTGGACATTTGGGTTGGTTCCAAGTCTTTGCTATTGTGAATAGTGCCGCAATAAACATATGTGTGCATGTGTCTTTATAGCAGCATGATTTATAGTCCTTTGGGTATATACCCAGTAATGGGATGGCTGGGTCAAATGGTATTTCTAGTTCTAGATCCCTGAGGAATCACCACACTGACTTCCACAATGGTTGAACTAGTCCACAGTCCCACCAACAGTGCAAAAGTGTTCCCACCCCTCCACATCCTCTCCAGCACCTGTTGTTTCCTGACTGTTTAATGATTGCCATTCTAACTGGTGTGAGATGGTATCTCATTGTGGTTTTGATTTGCATTTCTCTGATGGCCAGTGATGATGAACATTTTTTCATGTGTCTTTTGGCTGCATAAATGTCTTCTTTTGAGAAGTGTTTGTTCATATCCTTTGCCCACTTTTTGATGGGGTTGTTTTTTTCTTGTAAATTTGTTTGAGTTCATTGTAGATTCTGGATATTAGCCCTTTGTCAGATGAGTAGGTTGCGAAAATTTTCTCCCATTTTGTAGGTTGCCTGTTCACTCTGATGGTAGTTTCTTTTGCTGTGCAGAAGCTCTTTAGTTTAATTAGATCCCATTTGTCAATTTTGCCATGTTTTTATAGACTCATAAGAGGAAACATGTTGGTGGTGATTTATCTACAGTCCCTATTTATTTTAGAATCTGAGGCACTGGCTATATTTCATGGCAAGCTAAAACTCAAATGCCTTCATGAAACTAAATTTCTAGCTTAAGATGAAGGTGTAGTTCCTGCACTGAATAGCCTTCATCTGTAGATTTGTGAAATGTTGCAGTTTTACATCTAAGCACCTTATAAGGAATTCTATCTTAGACAAGATTAGATCCTGTGGCAATCTTTATTTGAAAAGCTTCATAGTTTGCTCCAAGTGCATGGAAATGTGTCTTATTTCTCTTGAATGCCCTTTAGGTCTTAACAGAATTCACAGTGCCAAGGAGTCAAAAACTATATTTCAAATTATATACATTCCTGACATATTATTTGAGCAGATTAAAACTGATGGATAGAGCAATTTAGGCACCTTGAAAGTAGCTACTTGAAAAATGCCAACTTTTTCTTATCTCCATTCACTTAAACAAAAATGGGCCAGGTGCAGTGGCTCATGCCTGTAATCCCAGCACTTTAGGAGGCCGAAGCAGATACATAGCTTGAGCCCAGGAGTTTGAGACCAACCTGGGCAACATGGCCAGACCCCATCTCTGCAAAAAATACCAAAATTGGCTGGGTGTGGTGGCTCACACTTGTGGTCTCAGCTTCTGGGAGGCTGAGGTGGGAAAATCATCTGGACCCAGGGAGGTCAAGGCAGCAGTGAGCCTTGATTGTGGCCACTGCACTCCAGCCTGGGCAACAGAACAAAACCCTGTCTCAAAACAAATAGAAAAGTAAAACAAGAAAACAACAAAATTAATTGATCTAGATTTGTGAGTTGTCGATACCAAGAAGTTCCCATGTTTTAAATATTTCAGATGGCCCCGTCATTGATTATTCTCACAGCTCAGATATAGGGAAGATGAAAGCTGCTGCCTATAGCATCTTGCATCCTCTTGCTTCCACATACAAGAAATGTGAACTTCAATCCCCTAAAAAGGTCAGAGTTTCCATTCTAGTGAACACATTTGTTCAGCCCAGGTGGGGTGGGACATGACAAAAACCAAGAGTGGGTCTAGAACCATGGGGCTCTTCCCAGGGCTATCACTATGAGATAGAATATCCTGTGTGTAGTCACTCTCAGAAACAGCAGCTCCCTTAGGAAACTGCTGTGTCCTGAATGCTTGTGTCCCACCAAAATTAATAAACTGAAATCCTACCCTCTAAGGTGATGGCATTAGAGGATGGGGCCTTTGGGAGGTGATTAGGTCATGAGTGTGGAGCCCTCAGGAAGAGGATTAGTGTCCTTATTTTAAAAAGGTACCAGATAGCCCCCTTGCCCTTTCCACTGCATGAGGACATAGCTAGAAGGCACTACCTATGAACTAGAAAGCTGCCACTGAATCTGTTGGCGCCTTGATCTTGGATTCTCCAGCCCCCAGAACTGTGAGAAATAAATTTCTGTTGCTTATAAGCTACCCATATATTGTATTTTGTTGTGTGTCAAACAAAGACAAAAACCAAACTCACATCTTATATGGGCAGTGGAAGGAGAACTCCAAGTTGAGGGGGGCTGCTCTTTTAGACCTATGATTCTCAAATTCTAATGTGCACACCAGTCATCTGGGGATCATGCTAAAATGCAGATTCTGATTCCATGGTTCTGGGATGAGACCTGGGACTCTGCATTCCTAACAAGCTCCCAGATGATGTTGATGCTGTTGGTCTTGGGGCCCTTTGAGTAGTAAGGGTTTGCAACAGTGCTTCTTAAATGTGTGTGTGCAAAAGAATCACAGGGAAGGCTGATTAAAACGTGGATTCCTATTTCCCATCCTGAAGATTGATTCAGCCGGAGGCCTGATAATTTGCATTTTAACAAGTTCCCAGGTGATCCTGATGCTGCTGGTCCCCAGACTACATTTTAATAACAAGCCTCTAGTTAACTTTTGAACAACTTAATTAAGATACCTTCACTAGTAGCCTCTTCTGTGAAAACAGAGAGCCAAACATCAAAAGATGAAGGAGGATGCTACTGAGTCCCTTTGGAGAAAATTACATCACAAACTTGGAGAGTGCCACAGGGTCTCTGTTCATTTTTCCATTGACAATATGCTTCTTTGACTAAAGACGAAAAATAATTCTTCAGGATCAAAACCTAGAGATAAGATTGGAACCCTAAGATTGGAAGTAGTGCTGCCTGATGAATAATAGGACTAGTTATTTTAGGATGACGGGCCAGCCTGTGCCTAGTGAAAGCTTAGAAATGCCAATAGCAGACTGAGCACGGTGGCTCACGCCTGTAGTTCCAGCACTTTGGGAGGCCAAGGCGGACAGATCATCTGAGGTCAGGAGTTCAACACACCCTGGCCGACATGGTCAAACCCCCTCTCTACTAAGAGTACAAAAAAAAAATTAGCCGAGAGTGGTGGTGGGCACCCACAATCCCATCTACTCATGAGGCTGAGGAAGGAGAATCGCTTGAACCTGGGAGGTAGAGGTTGCAGTGAACCGAGATCCCACCACTGCACTCCAACCTGGGCGACAGAGCAAGACTCCATCTCAAAAAAACAACAAAAAAAGGAAATACCGAAAGCAAAATGTTATTGGTGGCCAATTCTTAATATACGTCATGAGATTTGGGGTGATGTTTACTTCTTACTGTGTATTTCTTTGCTTTACACTTTCCTATGAAGCATATTTAAATATTGTTTTCATAAACTGGGGGAAAAACCCTAACCAATATTTTTAAAAGAAAAAAGTAAAATATATGCTCAGTGTAAGTTCATAGTATTTTTGGTTTGTGTTTGTTGTATCTGTGTCTCTCTACGTTTGTATTTTCATGGGAAAGGGATTATTTTTGTCTATGTCAGTCCTAATGTTCCCGGGGCAAAGGTGATAGATGGGTAAGAGCAAGGTCTAAACATATGCCTGGAAGTTGGACAGGGCCTGGGGTGGTGAAAATAAATTTAAGGAGTCCCAGAGGAGAGGTCAAAAGCTCCAGGAGAGAATTAGAGGCAGCTTCTCTTTCTCTCCTTGCCCTCCAAACAATTCAGCACAAGCCCTCAAGTCCCTTGAAGAGTCTTTCTTTCCCCCTTCTTCTTAGAAGGGCTGAAACACACTTTAAGTTAACTTAGGAATGGTTAGAAAAGGTTAAAAAAATGGGAGAACAGTAGCAATTAACAAGCTGCTAGGGAAACAGGGAAACCGTGCTGATCCGAACATCAGAGCCGACCTCCTGTGGTCTGGTTCCCTAGCACCCAGGCTCAGGCTTCGGCTTGGGGTGGCCGGACCAGAAGGAAAGTGCCCCGTGTGGCAGAAGTCATCTCAGGAGCGTGTCGCCATCCAGCCAATGACTTGTGTTCCAAGGACTGGAAAATGCGCTTCCTGGACACTATGTAGATGATTACCACACGAGCTTATTTTCAGCAATTCAAGAAAGAATCCAATTCGTGGTTTATTGCTTCTGTTAGTCTGGAAATGGTCAAACAAGTTGATAGGCATCTAGTTCACGCCTGGCGTAACTTTCCAACAAAACTCCAGGGCTCTACTGACACCTGCTGGCATTTCATCTACTTTATGTTAAAAAAACCCCAACAAGACAAAGAATCATTAATATTTTTCCTGCAGTCCTTTGCCCTTGTTATGTTACTTGTACTTTACCTGAACGATAATAGAAGGGGCCTTTACCATGTCGTGAGGAGAGAAGTGTGGGCAAGCCATTGGGTGAAAATAAAAATCCCCAACACGAAGAATGTACCACAGAGCTCTTGTTGCCTGTCTGCCCTGCACCAGCTGCTCTGTGACCTTAGGCAAGGCCATTGACCTCACTTTCATCATTGCAAGAAGAAAGAGGCAGCAACCTTCCCTCCCAGTTCCCTTTAGGGCTTCTGAGGATGCTGGTGGCATTTCCTACTAACTAAAGCATGGGCCCTGTCACTGGAGTGATGGCCTTAAAGGTCACTCTCACTGACCTTTCCATCACAATAAACAAGATTCCTTGCCAGCGTTGTATGTTCAAAAGATGAATGAAAGTTATTTAAGCCTCTTCAAAGTGCACCATCTCTGTAATTTATTTCGACAAACAACTAAATTAGAATGATCAGAAAAAGCCCAGTGAACAGTCTCAGAAATTGTCCACTTTTTTTTTTTTTGTCTAGGAAACTATGGACTTTGTTTTGTGTTTTAGAACATGTAGTAAGCCTGCAGGTTGAGAAAATGCATCCCAGTTAATGCCAACCCAATTATTTGTGCTTTTTCTGTCTATTCTTGGGAAACTCTGTGTGGGCCTGTGGTTTGTTAGGTCAATAACAGGATATTTGATAGTCTGCAGGGAGTTATAGTCCATATTTAGCCTGACAGAGGAAGTGAGTTCTGCTGATGAAAAATAATTGAGGCATTTCTTTAATTCTACTATTTCATTTCTTCATCTTCCTTCAGAATCCTGACCCCACTATGATGCTTGCTGAGGCTTTCGATGCTATTTACAGCTCTGCTTTTGCTAGTCACAAAAGAAAATTTACCTCTTATAACCCCTAAGTCTTCCCTCAGAAAACTGTTAGGTGTGACCAGGATCAGCAAAAACTGTTAGATTCACATCCATTAGTTTGGCTACTACTTAAAAAAAGAAACAAACAAACAAAAAAACCCAGAAAATATCAAGTGTTGTTGAGGATGTAGACAAATTAGAACCCTGAGCAAAAGGGTTCCCTTGTTGCATTTGCAGTCCTTTGTTGGTGGGGGAAAAATGGTATGGCCACGATGAAAAACAGTATGGTATTTCCTTTAAAAATTAAAAAATAGAATTACTATATGATCCAGAAGTTCCACATCTGGTTATTTATCCATAAATAAGAATTGAAAGCAGTAACTTATTTGTGTATCAATATTCATAGCAGACATGCAATTCACAATGGACAGGGAGTCCATCAGAGGTGAATGGATGAGTGTATTATTCAGCCTTTAAAAGGGAAGAAATTCCGACACATGGTAGAGCATGGATGAACTTTGAGGACTTTATGCTAAGTGAAGAAAGCCAGTCACAAAATGACAAATTCTGTATGGTTCCATTTATATGAGGCACCTAGCATAGTCAGAATCACAGAGACAGAAAGGAGAATGGTATTAATATTTATCAATGGCTGGGAGGAGGGGGAGATGGGGAGTTATTTAATGGATATGGAGTTTCAGTTTTGCAAGATGAAAAGAGTTCTGGAGATGGCTGGTTATGTTGGTTGC
The DNA here is from genome assembly GCF_000001405.40 of Homo sapiens. NCBI lineage: Eukaryota > Metazoa > Chordata > Mammalia > Primates > Hominidae > Homo > Homo sapiens. Next base: position 9,361,573 of record NC_000020.11, read on the forward strand.
ATAACAACATGAATGTACTTACTGCCACTGAATTTTTCATTTAAAAATGGTGAAGGTGATAAATGTTATGTTATGTCCATTTTTAACACAATTAAAATTAAAAGAAAGGTTAAACAGCAAAAAACAAAACAAAACCATACTCTGTTAGAACGCAGTCATCACCTTTGCCCTTACAGAGATTAAATTGCTTGACTTTTTAAAACCTGGTTCTACTGGGCAGTGCTGTCCAACAGTCCCATCTGTGATGATGGAAATTATCTGCACTGTCTGAGCCATCAACCCCATGTTGATGTTTAAGCATGTAAAATGTGATTAGTGCAAATGAGACACTGAACTTTATATTTATTAAATTTAAATAGCCATATGTGTCTAGTGGATACCATACTAGACAGTGCATATAGAGTATACGTCTATATTACTATCTATTCCAAGATATTTTTCCTTCCTCAGCACTAAGCCGCAAATCTAAGCAGTCAGGCTGTAAACCTAAGAAGGTAAGGAATCAGCTTATGTGTGGGCCACCGTTCTATTTAACCCAAATGTCAATTTGCTACGAAGTGTTTTGCCGAGGGTATGATTCTTCTATGGCATTCATTGGCATCAGTTTTTGGACCCAAGGGCAGAGTTGGCCTTAATTCATGGGCTGAGCTTTTCTAGTAAATGCCCTTTTAGAGACCCAAATTCCTCTACTGCCATGCACAATTTCCCTTCACTTGTCCTTGTAAAACAGTGGAGTGATGGTATGAACTACAAGTGAGGTCCAAGTCCTTATACAGAAATTATGTGAGCACATCGCTGTTTGCTCTGATCACCCTGGCAATGAAAGAATGTTTTTCTTTTTAAGGCTTTGCTGGAAAACATAGGTAAGATAAGTAACAAACTCTTAGATTGAAAGGATCACACAATAAAATTGATGAACCCCTATTCATTTATCCTCTAAAGTGAAAATAGTTAAATATGTCATGTATTTTATAATGCTGGTTGGAAATAATTAAGATTGCCAGCAACTGAAAAAGGGCTTATATTTAAACAAGCTGCAAATAGAAAGCTTCACAAGTCAGTCAGTGGGCAACATTCCTTTGTGGCAGCCCAGAGTTTAATGGCACAATAGATGGCACATTTGTCTTCATGGAAAGAATGAAAGCTGTTTATTAAAGAATAAAATATGAGCCTGCAAAATATAGATGGCTGTGTGACAGGAAAGGGACAAAAGAAGAGTTTGTGTTTTTATTACACAAAATGGATACAATCTATCTAATAAAAACTGCTCTATTTGACTCCAGCAGATTTGCTCACCAAGAATATTTTTTCTTTCTCTTTCAGCAATGGGTAGAAGGCCTGAGATCAATCATACACAACTTCAGGGCCAACAACGTCAGTCCAATGACATGCCTCAAGAAACAGTGAGTGTTGTTTGCATTACTCGTTTTTCTTGGCAGTTATCAAACAAATGGTCAGATGAAGAGATGAAGGCTAGGTGGTTCCTTCCTCCAAATTCCTGCTTGCCTTTCCCTCCATGCTCCTGACCTTGGAGTTGACCAACACACACCTGTACTCTTCATACCACGTAGAAAGGCATGCATGATAAACCCATAGCCCAAAACCTATATGAAAAGAATAGTTGATGGTCAAAGGACACTGGAACCTCAGTCACTCTGTATGCTGTCAGTTGTGGGTACTGGCTTTTGTGTCCCCAGATTGAGTTTTCTGATAGACAGCTCTGCATGTCTGGAGCCATCGCTGAGTGCTGGGGTAATTCTATCCTCTGCTGCATAAAACTGAGAAATGAGGAGTGTGACCAAGAGACGCACTTGCCAATGCACCTGAAAAAGAAGCCTCAGCCCCAAGTGCAGTGCTCCTTGTTTAGCACACCGTCAGGGATCCAAAGTTACCTCTGAATTTTTTTCTGTAGGATTCAGTTATTTAAAGATTTGATCAAGGATCCAATGGTGATTTCCAAATTTATTTTTTCCATGAAAGAAGGAATTACTCCAGCTTACAGTATCTGAAATCCAGAGGAGTACTACAGTGGTAGATTTAAACCCTACCCAAGTTAACCTTTCAAGGTGACATGAAAATCACCCACAAAGGAATCCTAGCCAAAGTCAAATGTCAGCCAGTTTGAAAAGCAGTGATCCGTGAAGGTGGGGGCCATCTGCCTTCACAGGGCCATTGGCAGGCAGTTGTGAGGTGCCAAGGGGAACCATGTTGAGAAATTGCAGGGATAAGCCTGTATCTCTCAAAATTATGCCCCAGCACCAAGAGTGTGATTCATCATACTCACTTGGCAATGGGCCAAGAGGTTAGTCCTAAAGGTACTGTCATGTCTTATCTTCTGGTCATTGTGGCAGGTGCTTACAGGTGTGGTCTCTAGGCTATAAATCCCGGCTTCACCATGGCAAATTCTTACACTTGTGCCTCACTGTCCTCATCTGTGAATCAAAATTACCATGCAGATGAAATTGGAAAGTATTCTTTATTCAATACTACTTATCTTGTTATGGTATCCCTCCAATTTTCTTTCACCCTTTTAGTGGAGGAAAGTTATTTAGTCTTATCTATTTCTATGTGTTGTGCAGCTGCTTCTTCTTTTCCTCTGCAGTTGCCCTGGCATGTGTTTTTAAAGAGAAACCCAGTGGATATTCTGATGTTATGACTTCAGGCACTGATAGTCCTAAAGGGTCAAAAACTTTTAGAAGGCTTGCTTATACCTGAGTGACACAAATATCTCTATCTGACATGAGATCTAACAACATCCTGCCCAGATCCCTTTATGAAGCTGGTGTTCACCCAGCCATCATCTGCCATGAGAATGGGCTCACCAAGGGCTCAGACCTGTCCACTTCTTCAGAGCATTGCCCTCTGCTGAAGGGGAGCTTCCATTCCTGGAAGATTATACTCTTCCCTCCTCCAGGAGGAAGTCCACAGCCAATGATGAGCTGCAACAGGGTACAGAAGGCCATCCCTCTTGCCGCCAAGTCTGGCACAAATCACATGAGTTCAAGCTAAATCAAGCTCCATCTGAAACCACAACTTTGTTTAACTCTTTTTTCTGCTCAGTCTTCTCTCACTCTCTTCATCCCTAAAACATCCCGTTATTAAAGTAGTTAGTGGTGCTTCTACGAAACTTAAGACAGAAACTTTACTAAATCATCATGTTCTGCAAATTGTTAGCACATTATTGATTGGAAACAGGAAGAATGGGAGTCATTAGCTAAGAAAAGTCCTAGCTCCAAAGTACAGATAAATGTTCTGAGTCTCCTAAAAGCCTGGGGAAAGCAAGGAATTTTTCACCATCAATTTGAGTTGATGAACTAGTCTTACCACTGGAAATTAAGGAGGCGCCCATGTGATCAGTACTTGGCAGCACTAGGAGCTGGGAGTGATGAGTCCTCATGAATTCTCAAGACAAGGCTGGCTGCTGTCACCGTGCAGTTGCATTTCCCACCACCTTAATATATTATTACAGAGCAATAATCGAGCAGACCAATCACAAATAAGTACCAACAATGTGTTTTGCTCAATGGAGGCACCCAGTCATCTCATTTAGCTAGGGTTGCCAGATAAAATAGAGGACACTTAGTTAAATATGAATTTTAGATAAGAAACAAAAATATTTTAGTATAAGTATATCCTATGGAATGTTTGGAGCATACTTACAGTAAAAGAAAATTACCTGTTGTTTTTCTGAAATTCAAGTTTAACTGAGAGCTCTATATATTTATGTGCTAAATCTGACAACCCTAAATTCATCTTATAGCACATAATTGTCTGATTTTCAGAACCAATGTTCTTGATTTAAATGAACTTTCTTTTAAAGTTCTTAACAGAATTGAAGCTGCTCCCTCTAAGAAACATTAAGGCAATGTTATTGCTATTGTTTTGCAGCTGGATGAAATTGGCATTTATGACCAACACAAATGGTAAAATTCCAGTTAGGAGGTAAGTAATCATTCCTATCTGCTGTCCGTGTCCCGGGTCAACGCTTGTCATCCCAAACCAAAGAGAGAACCCTTCACAAGTATTTGTGTGTTAAATGCTTTAAAGATATTTCTGGAATCTTAGTTTCAATTGCTTTGACAAATGCTATATTCAGTTTGTAAAAATCATTTATGGAAGTAAAACTGCATTTTTTTGGTCAAAATAGGTGGCAAAAGAGGTACTTTGACAATTTAAAGAACATCAGAAAATGTAGAACTATTTTTTAAAATCGGCAAATAAGTGGTTTTTAGGATTTATGTTTCTTTTGCTTATTTGCCATGAGAAACTGTTAGCTAAACTTAAAGAAGATTTTATTGTGCACCTACTGTGGAAGGGTGTGGACCGTGTCTTGAGAAGTGTGATGCCTCTGAACAGAGCATTTTCATTCTGGGCTTTGCTGCTCCTCTGGTGCTCAGGGCAGATGGGGATACTTCTCTGGCTTCGTGCTGCCTACTCTCTACATGTACTGTAACTGACACCACACACTCTGTGGAGCTATCCTTTCCACCTTTGCCCTGATGCAGGTAACAATGACAAAGAATAAAAAGGCTTGAGGCAGGGCATGGTGGCTCATACCTGTAATCCCAGCACTTTGGGAGGCCGCAGCGGGTGGATCACAGGTCAGGAGATCAACACCATCCCTGCTAACACAGTGAAACTCCGTCTCTACTAAAAATACAAAAAGAAAAAAAAAATTAGCCGGGTGTGGTGGCAGGCACCTGTAGTCCCAGCTACTGGGAGGCTGAGGCAGGAGAATGGCATGGAACCTGGAGGCAGAGCTTGCAGTGAGTCGAGATGGCACCACTGCACTCCAGCCTGGGTGACAGAGTGAGACTCCATCTCAAAAAAAAAAAAAAAAAAAAAAGACTTGAGTGGAATCAAGAATAAAGAAAACATGGACAGGATACATCCTCCACATGTGTTCTTTAATACTTAAGTGGACAGATTTCACCCTCTGAGGATTCCCCATGCATCCCTCTTTTCTGCTTCTCACTTCCTTCCAGGGGTTAGGGTTTACACATGGTCTCTGGGTACAGTTGGAAACTCTTTCCACAGTAGTGATGGGAATTCTTTACCAAACTCTTCAGTACCTTTTTGGTTGGTGTTTGTTTTAAGCATTCATGGAAATTCCAGAAGCTGGGCTGGGCCCCAGGGCATCTGCTTTTCACATGAAGACAGGCATGTATCTGGATTCGTGAACCTAAGCCCACAACCAGAATCAAACATGGGTTCCCCAGATGCCAACTCTCTCTTCCAGGGTTCTCCAGACTCAGGTTCATGTTCACTTCTCTGGACACCACTTTAGCAAATACGCAAATCAACAAATAATAACAAACAAAACCCAGAACTACTGGGTGGAATCCTGTCTTAGAATTGATCTGTCTTTCAGAAATAACCAGGTCACCGAGTGCGTAGCATCTGTGTGGATGCATTGAGCAGTGGCATGTGCTGTGGCTCCTGGCATTTCTGACTCTCCTTTGCCTCCTTCCCTGCCCAGCTGCTTCATTCTGCTCTGCAGCTTCCATTCTGCATCCCTGTGAGACTATCTCCATACTCCCTTGACATTACTCTTTTCATATTTAACAGAATTGTCCCAGAAGACCTCATTTTTCTCAATCTTGTATATTAAACAATCACGACCTAAAGTATCCATGTGACCACTTAAATATCGAGAAAATGTAAAGCACAGAAGTCATGAAGACCTTAGACAATTTTTTTTAAATTTAACTCTTTATTGAGGGCTTGTTGAGTCATGGACCTCATGCATTTGTTGTGGTCTTTCCAAATCTATCTGTAGGATTCTCTGCTTTTATTTAATAACTTGCTAGCAAGTCAACTTTTAGTCTGCTTTAGAAGATTGAAAAAAGCCCTGTTAGCAGCCTTGACTGATGGTTGTTGGCAGATACTTTATGCTTATCCTTATTTAAAATCCTTTGCTCAGTTGAGTAATAGCAGAACAATTATTTTAATGTATCCCAGTACCCTACAGCTATTGCATTTTTATTTAAAATCAGAGAGCACAAAGCAGTGTGAAGAATAGAAATGTAGGTTGGATGTGTTTTTACATGCCTTACTATCCTGCTTTTTCTTCCAAGATGAGGTTCAGGAAATGGGCAAAGTAGAGACACATAGATTGTGATCAAAGCACTTCTAACCAGCAGTCTTGGTTTCATTTGTATGTATCCTATGAATCAAGTCATTGTCATACAAGCTTTGAAGTCGTTTCTGATTCCAGTGATTTTTATCTAACATGTTCACATACAAAATTATTACCACCTTTTTGTAGAAATAGCTTAGATATTTTGGCATCTTCTTTAGCTCTCTTTGACATGGACTCCATGGTGCTTGCCAGTATTAACAGGTGTTTGACACAAGACGGCTGTGATTTGGGGGCAGTTTGTTAGAGTTGATGGAGAATTGATACCATGCCAGAAAAAAAATCAGATAACTCTATTGGTGAATGAGCTGCCAAGAGTTAGTTGGAAATTGTTGTGTATGTTTTAATGGATATGAAGAGTAAACACTTTTAAAATGTTATTCACTATCATTCTGAAGTTTCTAAAATGGAAACTATTAGTGTACTGTCCATAATATTAAAAGAGATCTGGCTTCATAGTGATTACATAGCTTGGGAATGGTTCCTGCTCTTTAGCATTAAACCAAAATTTAATATCCAGGAAGTTGCAGGAATAACACATGAAGAAAGTCTTACCTTTTGTCTCCCTCTTCTCTTGTCTTGCTGTTTACATAACCCATGCAGTCTGCCTTTCTCTCAAATTCACAAATTTACACTCAGTTTATCCTCCCACTCAGACCAAAGTTTTGGAAATAGCAATTCTCTTTTGCCACCTTCCCTCCTCTCTCGTAACCTGGAGTGAACACCAATGACTAGAAAATTGGGAAGTGAGTAGCCAGACAGTAGTTGTGGGCAGGGGCTGGAAGAGATCCCAAACAAAACGGCTGTGTTAAAGAAGGCTGAGAGCCGCAGGTGCCGTCTTGGAAGCATCCCTATATAATCAGCCCAACCATGTCCTGAAGGCCCAGCAGCCCACGAAGAAGGTATGATTCTGCTGGGGCAGTTGCCCCATCCTTCACTCAAGAGTTCTCTGTAACTTTCAGAACACGGTGTTAAAACCATCGTGTAGATTGCAGACCCTGTTTCAGCTAGCAAAGAGTGGGACTCCCTTAGTTTCTAGGATCGTTGCTGTTTTAGCCACTTGCGAAGTCCCCCGGAATAGAATTTAACCAGGACTCTAATAGGACTGGACACAACTCAGGGGTGTTTGCTTTTGTAGCATTTCTTTTGGGGAATGGGGGTGGTTTAGTTTGATTCAACAAAAACTCATTGAGTACCAGTTAGCTATGAGGCACTAAGCTTATGTGAACATGGGGCTATATAGAGATTTGAGTAAATCACATTCCCTTTGTAAATGCTCTATGTTCCCATGAAACACAGCCACGATATTATCTCCCTTCTTGGCCCCCTCCATCTCCCTTCCCCTTGAGACATTCTTCTACTTTCTATTTGTTGGCACCTGGCCAAACCCTAGCCAAAAGATTCAATTTCTGTGTAGGAAACAGAAGCTATTGGTACCCAGGTTCTGTTTCACCAGAAAGGCTCAGTCTCCACACCCGCTGATTTCATGCCCACGTTGATCAGTTTTCATCTCGTTATGCCAGGCATGTCCAAACCTAACAGAGGCTTCAGTTAGCTGGGATACCCCTGAGATTGCTATGCAAAGATTGTTCTCCTGAGAGCAAATGCCAGATCCTGCCAGAGTCTTACTAGCTAGGTTAACACAAACTTTTTATGAAATAATAGTCACCCTGAACAGCTACTTTCCCCTAAATTAAAAAGGCTACAAAATTTTTGTCTTACCCCAAATTTAATGTATAAAAATTACCTGAACTCTAGAGATGAAAAATGTAAACATAGCACCCTCTATACTAGGAATCTTAACCATTTATTGATGTCACACACATATTCTCTCCCATATTTGTAGATTTGTTAAAGAGAATTCACAGGCCTCCTTATATTTGAATACAACTGTCTCAAGAACTCTTAAAAATGTACTTCTTGAAGTATTCTTGGACCTGGCATGAAACAATAAAGCTGTGAATGAACACATAATTCATTTACCTACAGCTACTTCTTAGTCTATTTTGGGAAGTCCTACTCTGCCACTGAAGTGGTGCTTTCTCCCACTCAGGAAGAGGAACTGTCAGCACTCTCATTCAGAACTTGCCTTCTACTTAGCACGGATGGCGGAAAGTACAAAAACGCTGGGCATGAGATGCTGTTAAAAATCCTTCTGTGCTCACAGGGGAGGCATTCCAAAGCCAGCCCTCATGGATAGAAGTAAAACTCCATCCTCAAGTCAAGCTGGACTTCTGAATGTCGAGTTAAAATGAAATTATCATGGTAACACATTACCTGGGCTTCCAATCAGGGAGCGATTGAAGGCTCCTTGGTGGCTAAGGTATGGCTCAGAGCCAAGTGTGGTGTTCCAGGGTACCAAGTCCTCTGCTCAATAGCTTTCATTCTGAGTGGCACCAACACATTTATAATGGAGAGTCTCTCCTAACTTTTATCATCACCAGGAAGTGTGTTCATCAAGGTGTTATCTATTCTACTAGCCTTGATGCTCACTGTTCTAGTTAAAAGGCTATCCAAAAATACTATGTCTTGGGGTACTACTGAGATTTGTTGAAACATTGGATAATTGTTCCCCTTCCCCCTCACCCAACCCATCATGTTGACAGTAAAGTCCCTTATCCTTGAGGCAGCTGACATTTCAGAGGGGCTCAAGGGTGCTTAGCTTGAAAACAAGAACAAAATATGTCTGATCACGCCCGTGTCAACTGTGGTTAAGTGTGGGAACCAGGATAAGGACAACTGAAGGCATGGATTGAGTTGTAAGGGGCCGCCTCCTTTTCCCTAGGCCCAGTTATTGTCAACATGAGGGTTTGTTCTAGAGCTACTGTCTTATCTGCCACATTCCTTTTTCATAAGAAGGCAATTTGGTAGCATCAGAATTTATCATTGTTTTTGTCCAAAAATGTGTGTCCCAGGCCAGGCGCTGTGGCTCATGCCTGTAATCCTAGCACTTTGGGAGGCCGAGGTGGGTGGATCACCTGAGGTCAGGAGTTTGAGACCAGCCTCACCAATATGATGAAACCCCGTCTCTACTAAAAATACAAAAAATTAGCCAGGTGTGGTGGCGTGCACCTGTAGTCCCAGCTACTTGGGAGGCTGAGGCGGGAGAATTGCTTGAACCTGGGATGCAGAGGTTGCAGTGAGCTGAGATAGCGCCACTGCACTCCAGCCTAGGTGACAGAGTGAGACTCTGTCTCAAAAAATAAAAAATAAAAAATAAATGTGTGTCCCTCCAGTGCCGCTTGCCCCTTGTTCTCCCAAGCACCAGGGGGACCCCTGGTCTTAGATTCAAGTTGCATCACTAGACTAACCAGCTCTGGGAACCAGAGGGACACTGGAGGAACTAGTTTGGGAAATGAAAAACATCTGCAATGAGAGGTAATTTTATTCTCCTCTTCCTTTTACCCTAGTCTCACTCTCCATAGTAGGACCTGGATCTTTGCATCAGAGAAAACATAATGAACAATAACTGGAATGTGTGTTTCTTTCTTTTCTGCCCTAGTATTACTAGAACATTTGCATCGGGAAAAACAGAAAAGGTGATCTTTCAAGCACTCAAGGAGTTAGGTCTTCCCAGTGGAAAGGTATGCATTAACTTAATAATGTATTTCTAAAACCATTTTGTTTATTTATCTTCTCATATGTAATGAGCTAGATTATTTATATTAAACTGATCTAAATTAGATTTGGAATTATATGTCAGTGACATATAGTACAGTTAATTTTCTTTTCTTTCTTCTTCCTCCCTCTCCCTTCCTCTCTCCCTCCCTCCTTTCCTTCCTCCCTTCCTTCCTTTTGTTGCCTGGGCATTTTAACCTAAATCTCTAAAAATGTAAATAGTTTGCTTCAAATGATTTTTGTCACCTTTCTTAAGAAAAGGAAATGAAGGCCAGCTTGCTGTGTTACACAGTTTTTATTTTAGAGAAGCTCACCAACACTGCCTCAACCAGGCACAACATTAGCATGAATAATTAACTAATAAATTCAATTCTACAAGATGGCTATGCAATATTTTGTGAAGCATCTCTCCCCGCACCATTTGTATTCATGGCCCTTCAAATTTAAAATAATTGAAATTAATTTATTGACTTGAAGAAAGATTGAAGCCTGGTACTATTTTAATAAGTCCTATTTGAAATATAAATTTCAGTTTGAAAAGTAAAATCTTACATGGTTACCCTAAGCCCGTTCACATGGTCTTGCAAAAATTCACAAAATAAGCATAATTAAACCTTGGGCTTGATTTATTCAGCATCCCTCAGGCAGGCACTTTTCTCCCTCAAGGTGAGTTGGAGGAAATATTTATATTCGTTCTTTGGGGTATTTCCCAGAGCAAGGCCAGCTGTAGCCAGGTGTTCGCACACACAGAATCTGGCAGCATGATAACTAGAAACACTGATGTACACGCACTGTTTTTTAGTGAGATGGCCTGGCAGTGCCTGGAAGTTGGCCTCCTGGCTTCTGTCAGCAGGAATCAGAGATGAAGACCCTGAGTCCAAGTGGTCTTCACTGTGCTTCATGACCCTGTAGCTTCTCACCCTCCAAGGGAAAAACGGTTCTGTGATTCATAACATGATTTTATTCCTTACAGAATGATGAAATTGAGCCCACAGCATTTTCTTATGAAAAGTTCTATGAACTGACACAAAAGATTTGTCCTCGGACAGATATAGAAGATCTTTTCAAAAAAATGTAAGTTCCACTTATGAGGAAGTGCCATATAAATATTATCACTGTCCTTTTCGATTTTTTAAAACGTTTTTGTCCTATTTTAATAGAGTATGTTGGTAGCATCTAGGAATATCTAGTCAGGGTTACATTTTTAACCCCATACTTTATCAGTGTAAAAGTTCACTCTGAGTTTTTGAGAAACTTTTACGTATATTAATTGCAGCACCTGGAACTTTTTTTTGCATTGGCTTTACTAACTACCTACAATTTTAACCTGCTCCTTTAGGTATTAACCCATTATGTGAACTAACTAGATTCAATTTGGAATGTTAATATGTTTTTGAAAAGTTGATTCATTCCAATTATTTCAAATGGATGACTTACATGTTGTTTTTGAAATAATATCTTTTGAAAACGGTAAAAAAAAAAAAAAATTGCAGACTTTTTCTGTGACCTAGTGGGAGTGTTTTCCTTCTGTTGTTGTTGTTGTTGTTGTTTTATTTTTCTCCCTTTATGAACAGTCTCTGGCCATTTTAAGAATTCACCACTACTTCAGGGTTAGAAAATAAGTTTAGAATTATCATCAACAAATGTCAACATGTAAATCGTACATACTGTAGCATCATATACAAAAACTTACTTTTTCTAATAAATTTCTTTTCAGCAATGGAGACAAAACTGATTATTTAACGGTAGACCAATTAGTGAGCTTTCTAAATGAAGTAAGCTTTTTCATACATTAACTCCATAAAGTCTGTGTGCAGTGGCTTGCCTTCTCTGGTGTCCTCATTGCATGCCTGCATCATATGCCCTTATTCGCTTTGCTTCTGACCTGCTGATCTTTCCATTATGGCTTTACCAGGTGCAAAAATCAGCTGCCGCCCTGTGTGTTCATGTGCTTTCTTCACATTGGCTTTGCACACCACTTTTTGTTGGTTTCTGGCTGTTACATGTAGCTCTGGTTCTGTGTGTATGTGTGAATTGTATAATATATTCATTTAAGTAAATGTGTCTGTGTTTTTGCAAGATGATATTTAAGGTACTTTTTTTCTATTGATCTCATTAAATAGAAAGAGAATGGATTGAGTTTACTACACTGTAGTTGGATTCTCCATTGCTAACTTTATCTCATACCTTTGCATGGACTGGAAAGCTTTATTTTTGTCTTTTAATGGATTGCATGTAAGAAAAATATGTTGGCTCAAATAGAATATTTTGACAACAAGCAAAACACTTGAGTTCCTGGGTGAAAATACATTGAGTTTTAGGCTAATAGGATTGCAGGTTAAATTTGTACTTTTTCTTTTTATAACAAGCTCAGAGCTAATTTTAGAATGTGATTAACTTAACAACCAAAACTGATAGATAGAATTGCTTAAGCACAAGAGAAAAATATTTTCGAACAAAAAAAGTTTGCAACTTTTATTACAACTAAAATGAACTACTTTTTTCTTCACACATACAAAAAAAGTTTTCCCTTCAGTGAAACCCATCAAGACTCTTGTTAATCCAAAATGGAAAATTCACTTTTTTTTCTAACACATTAATAAGAGTTTGAGTGAAGGATGGACAGTATGCTTTTGTTTCAAAATAATTTAAGTTAATCATTATACCATATAAAGAGAAAATGCAAGAAAAGATGGTATCATGCCAGATAAAACGTATTATCTTAAGAAAAGATAAAAAGGCAGACCTTAATTTGCCACTTCATAGAGACAAATTACATCTTCTTTTCTTCCGTTGTGAAGGTTCAGTGGCTTCAAATTTATAAAGGTCGCACTTTAGAAACTATGTTAACTAAAGTGTAAATGCACTGATGCAAGAAAGAGAAAATCCTACCCCACATATCAGACAGATGCCTCTAAAATAATCCTTCGTGTACAATACAATGTTTATTTTACTCGAAAACATTTCAAATTTTTCCACTCCACTGGTTTTTAGTCATATAAATACAATGTTCATAATCTTTACCCAGATACTATCCACGTTCTTATGCCACAGCTGCTCAGAAGTTAAATTGCTTTGTTTTGTTTCTTTAACCCCTTCCCCTTCTTCTGCCTTTTGTTTTTTGGTTTCTTGTTTTGTTTTGTTTTATATCCCTTGGCTTCTTCATGCACTTTGGTTCAGTGATCATCTTAGGTTTGGTGAGGTGAAGAGGGAAGACGGTTTAGTGTAAAGGAGAAAATCTACCACATCTTCAGTTTGCCACTTCCAAGACAAGGCCTCTTGTGTTCTTTGGGATGAAGCCCTCTCTTAAACATTACAGAGACCTTAATACTGCATTTCACTGTTAAAGAATGAAGCAACTCTTAGGTCTTGAGGATAAGTGCAGTATTTATAGGCTCTTATCTAATGCATTTCCTTTTATGGGTTGTTTTTGTTGGTGCTCCCAACAGTCACTCCTGTAATTCTTAGACATAACATTTAATTTTTTAAAAATATCATCATCCATACTTTCTTGTTCTGCCATTCAGATTCTTTCTTTAAGTATTTATTATTTGTCAACCTTTTATCCCTCACAATTACAGTAGACAATAGTATTCTTTTTTTTAATAGTGTTTCCTTCTATTTGATGTCTTCTTAACATTAAGGAAGTACCTTAAATTTTGGGGTGTGACTGATGGAATCGGTGTGATTCTAGATTTCTTTAGGTCATAGGAACTGTAAGACTACTCAGGAAAGTCTATAGCCTTTATTTTTAATCCAAGTGTCTGCCCTGAATTTATTCCTTTTCTATCCTAGTGAACTCAACTGGAAGAACTAGACAAAAACATGAATGTCGGCTTGAAGAAGCCTTGTCAAACATAGAGAACATTCTGCCTGTTCCTTGCACTCCCTCTTTTGAGTCCTACCCTGGCCCCTCTTATCTCTCCAAAATCAAAAACACCCCTTGGGCAGAACAACTTCAATACTCATAACAAAAGGAGACAGACAGAGCTCACTCAAGAAAGAATGGGCATTGGAATGTAAGGGTCAATTACTCCAAGAGTTTAAACCTAAACATTTTCAAAATGCCTTAGCCACATAGTCTCAACAAGCCAGTATTCAACACTGCATTGGAAGCCCCTGTGAAGGTTCCTTGTGAAGGTTCAATGGCTTCAAATTTATAAAGCTTGCACTTTAGAAACTCTGTTAACTGAAGTGTAAATGCACTGATGCAAGAAAGAGCAAGTACTACCCCACATATCAGACAGATGCCTCTACTTTTAAATAATCCTTTGAGTATGATACGATGTTTATTTTACTTGAAAATATTTCAAGTTTTTCCACTCCACTGGTTCATATAATGAGACAAAAAAATAAACAAGTCCCATGAACACTGGAAAGGACAAGGTCCTAGTCTCATTTGCAGATGTTGATTGTCTACTCTGATATAAACAATTCCACGGAAAAACTGTTTGAAGTAATTAGAGAGTTCAGCAAGGTAACCAGAGAAACAATGAGCAAAGCAAAAACCTGGAGACACACATACACTGCCATTAACCAGGTAGAATAGATAGTAGGAAAACATAAATCCCATTTATATTAGCAAAAGACATGCTGGTTCCTACCACCTTCCAGCTGGTTAATCCTTTCACTCTTTCTATGAAAGTTTTTATTCATATACTAATGTGTATCTTCAGGGGGCTGCAAGGAGAGGAGAGACTATATATATAGTCCATTTACTGCTTTGGTCACCCTGTAGGGTGACCTCCTCCCTATCCATGCAATCAACACTGACTAGATTTTCAGTAGTAGCTTTAGACCTGACTCCTCATTGGCTTCTCAGTATTTCCTTGTTCGTTGCTCCCCAAAGTGTGATCCATGGACCAGCAGCATCGGCACCCCTTGGGAGCTTATTAGAAATGCTCAGTCTTGGGTCCCACCCAGACCTGCTGAGTCAGAGTCTGAATTTAACAAGATCTCCAGGTGATTTATCTGCACATTCAAGTTTGTAAAGCACCATCCTAGTGGATTACTGGATTCCTCCTTGGAATGTTTAGTGTGAGTGGGAAGAATATGAGAGCGACATATACCTTCTGTTATTCTCCATTAAGAATTTAGCCATAGGAATCCACCACTCAGAGCTAAAATTTTGCCACATCTATGTCTCTTAGTCTCATCCAATGGACTGAGGGAAATCTTCTTTGCCTATAATATGAAAATAGCAAACTAGAGTCCAGGAGGGATAGCAGAGGCACTTAATGTGAGCTGCCACGTGGTGAGACACTACTACTGGCTCAATTGCTTGTATGTGGCAAGACTAGATAAAACCTCTTGGCTTTGGTTAGTTTTACCTCCCTTTCCCTATTCCTAATGAGAAGCAAAATTGATTTTTAGTTTTACCTTCATTCTTTGTTTGACTTCTTACAAAGATGATAACTAGGGTCCTGCAGAATTGGGAGATGGGTGGAGGGCAGGAGAGAGGGATAAAAACAAGGAAGAGAGGGAAAAGGCCTTAGGTGGCCACAGGAATCAAGGAGTAGCTTTACTTTCTTGTTGCTGGTAATCTTCCCCCTTCCTCACACATATCATAGGATCACATCAGGGCTCAACCTGACTTTTTTCTTTTTGCAGATGAAAGAATATTTTAAAAGGACCCATGATCTCTTTCCTTTTACAAGATCTTTATGCTTTAAATGCACAGGCAAAGAGAGAGAAGGAGGGTATTTAGTCTTATGAGTAAGCTTATCCTTGCCAATTATTCCTTCTATATTTTTAAAATATTATTTATGTCAACATTCATCTCTCCCAGTGCTACTTGGATTGAAGCCAGACGATGCCTCTTCTCAGCACCAGTAAGGACGTAATACTGGAGTTCTCTTCATCTCCTCCTTACTTACTTGGACACAGTTCTGTGACCTATTTTTGGAAGTCATTTAGAATCTCATTTTACAAAGCACTGGATACCATGGGGTGAATAACCTGAGTAACTTGTTTCCCCAAATCCTGGCTGAAAACTGATGGTTCCTCAGAGATGTGAAACATTCACCTCACTGTGCTTGTGTCTCTGTGGAACTCTACTGCAGCCTTATTACTGTGAGATCAGCTGGAAGTGATCCTTCTCCTCTTGTTTTTCCATATGAAAATGATAGTTTTCTGACTCTAATGCAAATCTTATATTTGTTTCCTTGCCTTTGGATTACCCAGATTGATTTGTGTTACCTTTTTGAAGCATGAAGATTTTAGGGAGAGCTGAAGATTGTTATCTAGTGGGAGCAGAAGCAAAAACAAATGCAATTTCGCATTGTCTGCACTTCATGCTTATTTGCTGCGAATGTAATTTTCAGAATAGGGGATTATGATACATCCATTTTAGGGCTTGGTTTTCCTGGCTTTGTTTTGCCATAGGCAGGATGGTCTAATGAATGTCATACCCTCTGACTAAATTTTAATAGTGTTTAATTGGGAGGACATCTGAAACACTGAACATGCTTCTATCCTTGTGAGACTTAGGTACTTTTCTTTTTACTGATGTGCAAATATGTTAAAATGCATACCTTTATATGTTAGGTAAAGTGATTCTTATACTTGAGCACATCAGAATTACTCAGAAGTCTTATGAAAAACACAGATTAATAGGTTCCACCCCAGAGATCAGCAGATTCAGTAGATCTAGGGAGGGACCTGAGAAGCTGCATTTCTAGCAAGTTGACAGGTGTTGGTGAGGCTGATGCTGCCATCCACAGATCACACTTCAGGTAGTACCTTGTCAGAATAAACACATGTATGTATATTTTAAAATGCACAAAAATGTCTGAGTTCTGTCTCCTTTCCTAATTTTATCTCTTCTCTCTCCTGTAGCTGAATCCCTTTTTTCTCTCATTTTTTAATTCATATGGATTTGCCTCATCATCTCCATGAGTTCAAAATATTTACCAACAAACATATTTTTAAATTTAAAAAACTTAATTTTAATAAGGAAGATAAATAAAGTGGCCACCTATGAACATAACAGTGCTGGGGTCTAAAAAGGACCTTTTTCATCCTTTATCCATCTTCTACCATGATATTATTTATGGAGATGTGAGAAGGGATGTGCCTAGAAAGATGGGTTTGTTGTTGTTGTCAGTTTGTTTGTTTTTAAAACAATGCATTCTCACCAGAAAGACGGAGCTCCTTGTTTCCTTGAGTAGTGGGCTCCATTGCACGATGGCATCAATTTCCTAAACAAGGTGTAGCATGCCTTCACTTGCCTGGCATTCCATGGTCCACCTCACAATCCTCTTCCCTGCATATCCCATAACTTTTGTTCTTGGTGGCCTCGAGGCCTGCTGTTAACATAACAGTTTCTGTTGTAGCATATGCATGAATGTTAGCTGTTGTGAGCCATAATTTCTTAGATTACAACAGAAGCATGCTTCATTGGGATAAATTGATGAAATTTGATATTGATTCCTTATGAGTTAATGCTCTTAACTCGGTGGGGGAGGAGGGGACCCAGAAAAGGCTGGGCCCCATATGCATGAGGAAATGACATCCAAGTGCTCTGTTGGCCAAAAGCATTCATTCTGTGTATAGCTCACTTTTCCAATGCCCATTCCAAAGCAAATAGGGAAGGGAAATCCATATGAACTTTTAACAGTTGCTTTTTAAATACCTTTCCAACAATGTTTTTCAGTCCGTGCATATATTTGGGTAAAGAGTTGTCACCAAGGTCCTATTTATTGACCAGGTTTTGCTCACACCTGCTTATCTGTCATTATTCCAAACTTCCATTGAGGTTTGCTTTATTTATTCACTTATTCATTATTTTTGTAAGGGCTGACCAGGGACACAGTGCTGTCCTCTAATCCTCAGTGAACAGAAAGGAAGTTTAGTGGACCCACTGCCAACACACATACACACACAAACACACACTATTGGAGCTGAGTAAGTTAGTAAACTGGGTTTTTCATCATTGCCATGAAGTTAGGATGATACCATTGCAGGGACAGCATTGCTCCTGGTGCCTCATGTCATAGCAGGAGCTCCTTAGGTGTCAATTTGAAAACAATAATGTCACCAACCTCTTAAGTCCCGTAATCATTCATGGACTCTCTGCCCAGAGAATTCTATATTGTTTATAGCTTGTAAATATGCTTGTACTGATTAATTTTCATCATTACAATTGGTTCGTTTTGAAAAAAATAGTTACTCAAGAAAATGAAATTTGTTGAGTGCCCAAGAAATCATGGATTGATGTAGAAAGGTGTTATGAAAAAGAGATGATGTTTGCCTGTGTAACATTAGGCTTTTTGTTGTTATTGCTTTTGGGGTTTTTGAGGGGTGCACTTAAATTAGTATATTACCTATTTGAACTATTTTGGGGGGTTGGTGTTTGCTTTTTAAAAATATTTTGACCTCACGTTTTATAGATATTCATGCCAAATGTCTTCCCTGTTGTGTGGGAACTGGAAGACAGTACAATTGACATGCACACTTTATTATGTATCCTTCAACTTTTGAAGGGGAAAAAATGTATTCTCTCTCTCTCTCTAGTTCAGGGAGAGTAACCCAAAAGTATTCCCAAATGTGGACTTTTTGAAGTATACTTTAAGGAGAAAGGCAGGAAGGCAGTGAGGTCCTATCTTTGTAATTATAAACATGACAGTCTAGATATATTTTGTTTTATAAATTATAAACTTAGTAATGTCTAATGCCTCAAGGCCAAGAAATATCAACCTAAATGGAGTTATTTTCTTATCATAGCATCAACGAGATCCTCGATTGAATGAAATTTTATTTCCATTTTATGATGCCAAAAGGGCAATGCAGATCATTGAGATGTATGAACCTGATGAAGATTTGAAGAAAAAAGGTAATAAACATGAAAAAAGGACTTAAAAAAAAAAACAAGAAAAGATGCAACTTTTAAAGCCTTGGTTTATTTAAAGGTATCTGTAAATGCTTTGCAACTCCCTGAGCCATGGATTGATGACTATTTTTTTTTCCTGCTCTTAAGTTCGTATAAATTTTACCTTTCATCAGAATTAGTCAATCCTGACTGAAGTATACTGTTACATTTATTGTATTATTAAATACATTATAGTGATGTTTCCCCATGTACTTTCTTGTATTAGATTTTAGTATTGCATATTGCTTGAAATATTAAAACAACCAATACAGTCTCTACTTGCAATCCTTGAAAATAATTTTTGTCATATAAAAACTTATACCTTTTCTTTTTCTCCCTTTTGTTTTGCCAAGCCAAATAAATTTAATACGTGATTTGATGTGCAGTAACCCTCATTTGACCTCTGGTATGAAAGATAAATACAATTGATATGAAATTAAATAGTCAGGAATCGCCTTAGCTAATTGCTGGACCTTTGTCCCTTTCAAAGAAGCTTTGGAAACAAAGGGTTGTTCGCACAAATATTTGTCAAAGGAAAGGCATGGGGAGAAATTTTAAAATCAGTCCCACAGCAGTGAGAAATGCCTGCGGAACATGGGAGGGAGAGCTGGGGGTACCTGAGCTAGAGCCTTTGGCGTTATGTCTCAGTGGAGAATGTAAAGAGATGAAAGTTCAAGTTCCATAGGTCCCGTATGTCCGTGAATCTCAAGGTCTCAGTTTCCTCCTTTTTAAAATCTATTTTTTTCTTTGTATCTAATGCCAGTGAGTGTGGTTGAATGGTCTGTATGTTATCTGGACCCTCTTTTTAGGTATACCTGGCCCTCTACACTCCATGATTTCACCCCTGATATTTTTCCAAGCCCAATAGTTTTCCCTTTAGTTGTAGTTGTACAGTTTACACTTTCTGCTATGGCTGAAGATACCTATTTTAAGCAAGAATGCTTCATTCCTTCCCTCTCTGTCAATATTCTGAATATCATAATTTATTTCACATTGCTTATGATTACAGCAAAGGGAGGTACAGCTTGGTAGAAAATCTAACACTTCGCATTGGCAGGAGGTGATATGATTCTTGTCACTTCCCTGTGACCTTGAGCTAGGAACTGGCCTCCTGGGCCTCAGTTTCCCTGCTTGTAAGGTGGTGGGGCTCATGCAGTAATTTGGCTAGTATTTCCCTTCCCTACCTTCATTCTTTGAAGTTTGTAGAGGGCTGACCGGGTGCCAAGCACTGTGCCAGATGCTAGGAATTCAAAACAATAAGAAATGTCCCCAGCCTTGAAGGCAGTTGCGATCTGTTCAAGGAGAAAGACAAGTGATTCAACAATTCCTTGGCAGTGTGATAAATGTCATGATTGAGGTGTGTCCTTGTTTATTTCCAAATTCCTTCTAAGTTTTAAAGGTCTATGAAGTGACCATTGACACATCTAAAAAGGGTAGCTTGACCATTTCACAAGTGATGGAAATTTTAACGTCTGTCATTTTCAAGTGTGGGTGAGAATGGAGTACAAAGCCATTCTTATAAACTTCTGGTAAGACCCTACATTGGTACAACCATCTTGGGGAATATTTTGGCAATAGTTTATAAAGTGAAAAATATGCCTCTTATACAGCCCAGCATTTTCACTTCTAGGTATGTACCCTAGAGAATCTCTCATCTATTTCCCAAACTCTGGATACCAGAGCGGCACAGTTCTCAGATCTCTGCTCCACCTATATTCACTCTGTACCTGAGCTCATCCAAGCCAATGGCTTTACATTTCTTCTATTAAACTCTCCAGTCCTAACCTCCAGCTTACACTACAGACTTGTAGTAGAACTCTCCATCTGGATGTTGAATGGGCATTTCCAATGTATATATACAACATATTTCGATCCTTCCTACCCCTAGATATGTTCCTTTCAAAGCCTATAAAATAGTACCGTTATTTACCCAGTCAAAACCACTGGGCTCATGTTGGACTTGTTTCATTCTTTCACATCATGTCTGGTTCATTTGCAAAACCTGTAAGATCCAGCCTCAAAAGAAATCCTAAATAAATCACTTCTCACCATCTCCAACATTACTGACTATCCAAACCTTCATCATCCCTCTCCAGGCAATGCCTTCTCCTTCCTACTCAGTGCCCTACAATTTATGGTCCACACAGCAGCCAGAGTAAACCTTTTAAAACCAAATCTAATCATGTTATTCCACCCTTTGAAACCCTCCAAAGGCTTCCCAACACATTTAGAATAAAATCTAAAATACTTAGTGAGGACTAAAGCCCAAGTGATGTAGCCTTTGGCTCCATCTCCAATCTCACTTCAAGCTACCTTTTTCCTTGGTCACTTGCTCTGTCTTGCTGTCATTGAATGATGTTGGCACGCATACATCTGCATCAAGGTCTTTGCACTTGATGATCCTTCTGCCTGGACTGGTGTTTCCTGGGTGTGCACGTGGCTTGCTCCTCACACATGTACGTGACCTCAGAAGGGCTTTCACTGGCCCATATTTAACACAGCATCCTGCCATGCTTCATCACCTTCCTCCCTGCTTTCTCTGTCCTTCTAGTACCTCTTTGACATTATATTTATTTGTTTACTTATTTGTTTCTGTCACTCATAATATGAGAGTTTCATGAAGGCAGGGCTTACCTGTTTCTTCTATCACTGCATCTATCCTGGTGCCTCTAAAAGTACTTGCTCTTTAGAATGAATGAAGGTGCCCAAGGAAAGAGGTATACAAATTTCTACTTTCATTTATAATTAGAAATGACCTAACTATCCATCAACCAAATAATGGATAATAAATTATGATATATTCATATATGGACTTCTGTACCTTCAGTGAAAAATAAATGAACAAGATCTACCTACATAGCTGGTATATAAAGATAAAAATAGCAAGTTGCAAATGCACACAGTGGGATAGTTTTTACATAAAATTAAAAACAGCCCAAACTACCCGTTGTTTGGATAAATGCATATGTAGTAAGGTTGCAGAACCATTTTGGAGGTAAACACCAAAACTAGGATACTAGTTATCTATCTGGTATGGAATGGAATTGAGGTGGGGTATACAGGATGCTGCAGTGGCATCAGAAATTATGTATTCTTTTACATGTAAGTCAAATAATCAAAAATGTAAATCAAATAAGGCAAAATGTTGAGATCTGACCACACTGGTGTAGGCCCGTGGCTATTCATTATGCTATCATCTGAACACTTCTGTATTAGCTTGAAATCAGTTCATAACTTGCAAGTTCTTAAATAAAACAAAAACTTGAAGCTGTCGATGCATCAACCATTTATAAGTTGCATAAATACTGATTGTTGCTCCTGTAGTTACCACGTGGGCTCTACCCCATGTCAGAAAGGTGTGATCGAAATGAAGGGTGGCTTTTGGGGCCACGTTTCAATGACCACTGTATACTCTTCTCACCAGTCCCATAACCTGACTTTTAGATAAAATTGAAAACTGAATTGTTTAAACTCAGAAGCACCATCATCTCCAAGAAAAATCCCTTTTCCAATTCAGTGAGAACAATGTCTTATAATTAATACATTTTCCATTTTTAAAGAGCACCTCTCGTATCTATTCTCATTTCCCATTATGAAGATCTTGGAAGTCAGATAGGTCCAGTCTTTTTCCCCAATTGACAGAAGAAGAAGCTGAGATCTAGGAGCCAAAGGAGTGAGTAGCAAGAGCAGAACTTGATACAGGCCCCCTGGACCCCTGGTCACCATAACTCCCAGTGCTGTGTTTCTGAACTTGGGGGACCATGTACATCTGCCATCATGGATGTAAAAGCAGAATACCACCTGTTTGTGGAATTCATTATGTTACTTATAATGTGCAACTCTCTTATTTCATTCAAGTTCTGACAGATGAAAGTTCTTGGGAAAGAGACTGTGAAGACGTTTTTACTCTTATAATTTAAGCTGCCTCAGCTTCCATGAATAAAACATGAGATATGCATCTTCAGAGCTACAAGTGCTACTAAGATGTTCTTTTTCCCCTAGGCCTTATATCAAGTGATGGGTTTTGCAGATATCTGATGTCAGATGAAAACGCCCCAGTCTTCCTAGATCGTTTAGAACTTTACCAAGAAATGGACCATCCTCTGGCTCACTACTTCATCAGTTCTTCCCATAACACTTATCTCACTGGCAGACAGTTCGGCGGGAAGTCTTCGGTAGAAATGTACAGACAGGTTCTCCTGGCTGGTTGCAGGTGAGGAACTCAAGATGGCAATTTGTTTTTTGTGTGTGATGCCCTTCAGTTTAATTTACTTTTCTCTGAAAAACAGGAAATAGTAATCAGGATGAAAAGGAAATTTGTTTATTCCCTTTAATGGATTATCATGGTCATTTAACGTTGAGAAAAGAAGGACAGTATCTCTTTCGGAAAAATCTTCAGTCATCCAAAAGACTTTACTGTGAAAAGACTTTTCTTTACTGTAAATTTAAAATATGCCTCCAAAACCACAAAAAAGAAAACATGCATATTGTAAGAAGGCGTGTTGAGTTTTTTGTTGATTATAGGTACTTGTTACTAGCACCATGCTCTAACCAATTGAGCTAACTGGCCATTGATTATAGGCACTTGTAAATTAGCTTTTTTTTTTTTTTTTTAGTATTTATTGATCATTCTTGGGTGTTTCTCAGTTTCTCAGAGAGGGGGATGTGGCAGGGTCATAGGATAATAGTGGAGAGAAGGTCAGCAGATAAACACGTGAACAAAGGTCTCTGGTTTTCCTAGGCAGAGGTCCCTGCCGCCTTCGGCAGTGTTTGTGTCCCTGGGTACTTGAGATTAGGGAGTGGTGATGACTCTTAACTAGCATGCTGCCTTCTAGCATCTGTTTAACAAAGCACATCTTGTACCGCCCTTAATCCATTTAACCCTGAGTTGACACACCACATGTTTCAGAGAGCACGGGGTTGGGGGTAAGATTATAGATTAACAGCATCCCAAGGCAGAAGAATTTTTCTTAGTACAGAACAAAATGGTGTCTCCTATGTCAACTTCTTACTACACAGACACAGTAACAATCTGATCTCTCTTTCTTTTCCCCACATTTCCCCCTTTTCTTTTCGACAAAACCGCCATCGTCATCATGGCCCGTTCTCGATGGTCACTGTCTCTTTGGAGCTGTTGGGTACACTTCCCAGATGGGGCGGCCTGGCAGAGGTGCTCCTCACCTCCCAGATGATGGGCGGCCAGGCAGAGGTGCTCCCCACCTCCCAGACGGGGCGGCCGGGCAGAGGCGCTCCTCACCTCCCAGATGGGGTGGCGGCTGGGCAGAGGCGCTCCTCACTTCCCAGTCGTGGCGGCTGGGCAAAGGCGCTTCTCACATCCCAGACGGGGTGGCGGCCGGGCAAAGGCTCTCCTCACTTCTCAGACGGGGCGGCTGGCAGAGGCGCTCCTCACATCCCAGATGGGGTGGCGGCCGGGCAGAGGCGCTCCTCACCTCCCAGATGGGGTGGTGGCCGGGCAGAGG
The DNA here is from genome assembly GCF_000001405.40 of Homo sapiens. Classification (NCBI taxonomy): domain Eukaryota; kingdom Metazoa; phylum Chordata; class Mammalia; order Primates; family Hominidae; genus Homo; species Homo sapiens. The sequence goes on from NC_000020.11 coordinate 9,385,679, forward strand.
CGCTCCTCACCTCCCAGACGGGGCAGCCGGGCAGAGGCGCTCCTCGCTTCCCAGACGGGGCGGCCGGGCAGAGGTGCTCCTCGCTTCCCAGACGGGGCAGCCGGGCAGAGGGGCTCCCCACATCCCAGACGATGGGCAGCCAGGCAGAGATGCTCCCCACTTCCTAGACGGGGTGGCGGCCGGGCAGAGGCTGTAATCTTAGCACTTCGGGAGGCCAAGGCAGGCGGCTGGAAGGTGGAGGTTGTGGCGAGCCGAGATCACGCCACTACACTCCAGCCTGGGCAACACTGAGCATTGAGTGAGCGAGACTCCGTCTGCAATCCCAGCACCCCGGGAGGCCGAGGCTGGCAGACCACTCGAGGTCAGGAGCCGGAGACCAGCCCCGTCAACAGGGCGATACCCCATCTCCTCCAAAAATAGAAAAACCAGTCAGGCGTGGTGGCGCACACCCGCAATCCCAGGCACTTGGCAGGCCGAGGCAGGAGAACCACGGAAGTCCGGGGCAGGGAGGCTGCAGCGAGCCGAGACCACGGCAGTATAGTCCAGCCTCGGCAACGGAGGGAGACCGAAGAAAGGAGGGAGGGGGAGGGGGAGAGGGAGAGGGAGAGGGTAAATTAGCTTTATTTGATGTAAAAGTTCAAAAATTTAGTTCTCTGAGAGTAGAAATTATTAAAATCGTTTTTGTTTTATAGAAACTGGCAAATATTTGAGATTTAAAATATGGCAAAAATGATGAAAGTGAAAAATAAGAAATGTAGTTACATTATGTTTTTTTCTTGGTTATAAATTAAACAATACTTTATTTTTTTAATTCATTTTTTTTTGGATATGGAAATATGTTAAAAGAAATTAACTGTCTTACTACTTCCATTTGCAAACTTCCTCTGAATACCTGAGTATGAATCACTAAACATTTTCTGAAATGGCCAAAGTAACATTATCCAGCCTATCAAAATTAAAAGTAATTTTTTTAATTTATTTTATTTTATTATTATTATACTTTAAGTTTTAGGGTACATATGCACAACGTGCAGGTTTGTTATATATGTATACATGCGCCATGTTGGTGTCCTGCACCCATTAACTCGTCATTTAGCATTAGATATATCTCCTAATGCTATCCCTCCCCCCTCCCCCCACCCCACAACAGTCCCATGTCATCTAAAACCCAGCCCACATTCATATTTCCCCAGTTGTCCCCAACCAAATTGTCCTTTTTTTTTTTTTTAATTGGGACAGAGTCTTACTTTGTTGCCCAGGCTGGAGTGCAGTGGCATGATGTCAGCTCACTGGAACCTCCCCTCCTGGGTTCAAGCAATTCTCATGCCTTAGCCTCCCAGGTAGCTGGGATTACAGCCTCCCAAGTAGCCATCACACCTGGCTAATTTTTGTATTTTTAGTAGAGATGGGGTTTCACCATGTTGGCCAGGCTGGTCTCCAACTCCTGACCTCAAGTGATCCGCCTTCCTAGGACACACCACGCCCGGCCCCCAAATTGTCCTTTATTGCGTTTTGTCACAAGTAGGATTTCATCCAGAACCATGATGCTTGTTATATTTCTTAAGTCTCTTAATCTCACTCAGACAATCCCCTTTTGATAATACCAACCAGATGAGGAATATAATGTGGTTTTAACCTGTATATGCCATGAAATAATCAGGTTACTTAATTTATTCAATTTTCTGTTCTGGAAGAAAACAACTTATTTTGATGTCTTTCTTTTAATTTGTATGAACACTATTTCATTGTAAAGTTTCAATATTGTAACTTCACTATATCCCTAGATGTGTTGAACTTGACTGCTGGGATGGAAAAGGTGAAGACCAAGAACCAATAATAACTCATGGAAAAGCAATGTGTACAGATATCCTTTTTAAGGTAACTTTAAAAATAATTACACAGACTTTTCCAAACTCTGTGAAAATGCAGGAAATAGGGAGATGGAGAAGAGAAAACAAATGATTCATTTTCTCAAGCATTATGCCTTCATATTCCCTTCTTCCAGTCTTGAGGAAAAAGTCAAGACAAAGATCTTTTCCACTGAACGTCCCCTTCATGATACTGTTCTTGCTTTCAAATGGTGACTGTGTTACATAACAAGGTTTCTCTGGCAGAGTTTACCTAGTTTTACTTACCTTAGAAACAGTGTCTCCTTTTGTTATCTACTTATTTGCTTATTTACTTTACATTATTCCTAAAGGACTTCAAGGTGGCATAAAAAGATAAATAGAATACAGGAATAAAATAGATTGTAAATAGGGCCTACAAGAATAAGAAAGGCCGGGCGTGGTGGCTCACGCCTGTAATCCCAGCACTTTGGGAAGCCGAGGCAGGGAGATCACCTGAGATCAGGAGTTGGAGACCAGCCTGACCAACATGGGGAAACCCTGTCTCTACCAAAAATGCAAAATTAGCTGGGCATGGTGGCACATGCCTGTAATCTCAGCTACTCAGGAGGCTGAGGCAGGAGAATGGCTTGAACCCGAGAGGTGGAGGTTGCAGTGAGCCGAGATTACACTGTTGCATTCTAGCCTGGACAACAAGAGTGAAACTCCATCTCAATAAATAAATAAGTAAATAATAAGATAATGAGGTTAGACAAATCAAAAGAATGAAATTCTGTGGTTTGCAAATGTCAGCTGCAGCTGTCTGTCGGTTTGGTATAACTCAGGATAGATATTACAACACCAGGAGCAGCGGTTCTCAACTCCACCTACATGTGAAACATCACCATGGGTATTTTCAAAAACATAGGTGCTGCTGGGCGTGGTGGCTCATGCCTATAATCCCAACACTTTGGGAGGTGGAGGCAGGTGGATCACTTGACGTCAGGAGTTCAAGATCAGCCTGGCCAACATGGTGAAACCCTGTCTGTACTAAAAATACAAAAATTAGCTGGTGTGGTGGCATGCACCTGTAATCCCAGCTGAGGCAGAGTCAGGAGAATTGCTTGAACACAGGAGGCAGAGGTTGCAGTGAAACCAGATCATGCCATTGCTCTCCAGCCTCAGCAACAGAGCGAGACTCTGTCTCAAAAAAAACACACATACACACACACGCAGATGTCTAGATGCTATGCATAGTATTTCTCTTAGCCAAGATATTGGAGAGTTTTGACCAGCAATGAATTCAAGATAATACTTCTTGATATGTACCAAGAGTATATTCAAGTGGGAAGCCATGAATTTGCATAGCCAGGAAGAATAACTAAATGACTACCTCAGCCACAAGGAATGCCTCAATAAAATATTTCAAGATTATCTAACCTTGGGCTTTATCATGTCAAATGGATTTGCCTAGATAACTATTGTGAAATATTTTTCTGATTAACTGAATGATGAGATTTGCCCTGTGATTAGCTACAAACCAGTAAGAATTTGGGGATTTTTACCAAATATGATGCTCCGGTTGTAGAAGTGCTGGTTTGAAGCCTTTCTTTCTAAAGCTAAGCAGAGACGGGGCCAACCATCTCTTAAAGCCTCTCCTATTTCATGGAGAATAGTGAAAGGGAAGATTATGTTTAGCTCCTTCAAATGTTGTTTTCTGTAATTAAGTTCTGTGTTACAGATGGGGGGTCAAGAACACTTCTATGTTTCACTTACATGTTGCTTGACCAACGAGAACCCCTTCCCCCGGCCTTGTAACCAGGCTAATAGGAAACAAGGGATACTGCAAATGTCACTTTAGTACACAGAGGTCTACATCAAGTTAATGAAGTATAGCCCAAGACTGATTTCCAAACACAGAGGAAAGTCAGTGAAAGCCTCCAGCAGTCCTGAGGTTACTACCCACACTTTTCTGCATGAGGTGGGGAGGAGTCATACAGTGGTCGGGAGTGAAAACCTCTGTGCCAGAGATCACCTGCTCCTCAAGAAGAAAGGTGGACTCTGAACTCCTGGCCTGGCAGATTAACAAGCCACAGACTGGCATGCCATTTAGGTGAAATCTCTTGTAAGTTAATAGCACCATAATTCTGGAGAAGTAAAAGATAGCTTAAAAAATTGTCATTAACCATTAACTGCACCCTGGCTATAACCACAGGGAACTCAACCTTTAGAGGTGTCAAGGTAGATGGGGGCTCCAGGTCTGAATTGCTGGAATTGACTTTCTGAAAGACTCAATTAATAGTCTCTGAATAGTTTTGGGTGCCTTAATTTTTTTGCTCTTTTCTCTCATTAACGTTTTTTTTTGTTTTTAAAGGATGTAATTCAAGCCATCAAGGAAACTGCATTTGTCACATCAGAATATCCTGTAATTCTCTCCTTTGAAAATCACTGCAGGTATAATGATCCATTCTGCCACAAGTCTCTATGTGGTATTGTTTCCTAACCCCTAATGCCCACTCCTGCTCTACAACTTTTTAAATAGCTGAATAGTTTGTTTTGTGAAGTACTAAGTTCAAATAATTCTCCAGCAAGGGCACCTACTCTTATGCAAAGCAAAAAACAACAAAAAAAGGAAAAAACGACAAAAAACCACCCTTGTCCCCCCAAACCAAATCATTTTAATGTGTTTCAGAAATACTTGTTCCAAATAAAAGTTCAGAGATTGGGACACCTTACTTAAAGTTCCATTGAGCTGGAAGATTTGACAGTATATTTGAAATCAGATTTGATGAACTTGAAAGACATTTTTTATTCTTCTTTCCAGCTCTTAGTTTTGGAACAGAATCTCCTTCTCCTTCTTTTAAAATTATACCAGTTAAAGTTTTTGATACATCTCACATTAGCATTAAGAGGACAATAATGCATTTTGCCAAGTGAGAATCTTTAATTGCCTAGTAATGGGTGTTTCTTATTCTTGGACGGTTAATGGGTGTTTGAATTTACAAATGCCACTTTTTTCTCTCCAGCAAATATCAACAGTACAAGATGTCCAAATATTGCGAAGATCTATTTGGGGATCTCCTGTTGAAACAAGCACTTGAATCACATCCAGTATGTATTTTTAACAAACCATATTTCTAGCATGAATGGATTTGTTTTGAAAATTTCTGAAGGGTCAAGTAGTACTAGAGGACTAATGCTAAAGATCTTCATATTTATTTAAATTCTTTGGTACGGAAAGCTTACATCATGCTTCAGAGGGATGTAAAGAGACACAAAATAAACATCTGGTTCAATTTCATTTGGAGGATCTTTGGGTCTTATGGTTTTCAGATCTCAGTCTTAAAGTTTCATAAAGCACCCAGGCCAAGAGTCCAGATTCAGGTCAGTTGTTCTCAAATTCAGTTACATGTTAGAATCACCTACAAAACTGTTAAAAACACCTGTGCCAGGGCCCCACTTGGAGACTGATTTAATTGATGCAGGGTCAGCCCTGAGCATGGTGTTTTAAAAGCCCTCCAGGTGAACTGTATATGCACCCGGTATTCAGAACCCATGGGAGGCTCATGCTGTGGAAAGTGCCCTGGATTGATGTCACGACATCCTGAAGTTCATGTTCCTAACTCCAAAATAAATCACTGAGTAATGTTGCACATACATTTTTGAACTTCATGTTAAACCTGCTAATTTCTTCATAAAGCAAAGAACATTAACCTGTGCTCCATAGATAGGCTTTATGAGATCTGTGAATTCATTCTAATTGCATGCAATTTTTTTGTATATACTCATTCTAGAGAGTTAATCACATTTTTATAAGGATCCATGACCTCCAAGAGATTAAGATCCACAATCACAAGATGTTATGAGCTCCAAGGCAGCTAATGAAATCAAAGTGGAAAGACCTGCTATTGACAGCAGCACCTGATGGGCTCAAACCTGGTAGCATGAGGTAGTGGCAGAAGAACATCACAGCAAATGACAGCAGGAAGGTGCTTTGTGCTACATGTAAACACTTTATGAGGTTCTTTTCAGAAGTGTGTCTATGGGAACTGAAAAAAAATATGAGAGACAAGGATATCTGTATCCTTTGTCCCCCTTCCTTCTTCCCTCGAACTTGCAGAAGCAGTTGCTGCAGGTGACCTGCCCATATCCTTGCAGTGCCTCCTGTTTCCCTGAACACTGGCCTGACTTTCCACTGCCAACATCCACAGCTTTTTGCCTGAGAGTGAGCTCTGGTCACTGGAGCCTGCTCTGCCACACATGAAAGACCAGCAGTGCCAGGGAATTATCACCCCTATCCCATGCTTCATCCCTCCCGAGGTGGGATAACCCTGAGCACCTGCTCTTCTCTGCCTTCCAGGGTTTCCCAGCAGGATCGTGCTCCAGCTGGCTGCAGTGATAACACACCCTTGATGAGCTGCCTGTCTTCTTTTTCTCACTTTCCCACACCTCTGTTGGAGTTTCCTTCCAAGTAGACGACCTGGTGCAATACTACTTTTCTCTGAGGCTGATTTTAAGGGAACCCAAACTAAGAAACAGCTCTGATTTATTTTATTTGTTTTTACCTAGGCCCTCCATTTATCTTTCTGATTAGGTTAAGGTGATTGCTTTTGTGGAAAGTTCACTGTATTCTTAGTGAAGTGATGTGCACATACTTTTACCAGCTGAAGGGTGTCCAGGTTCTTGGCATCTTGAACAAAGAATCGGACAAAATGCACAAACAAAGCAAGGGAAGAATGAAGCAACAAAAGCAGAGATTTATTGAAAATGAAAGTACACTCCACAGGGTGGGAGCAGCCTGAGCAGAGGGGCTCAAGAGCCCTGTTACAGAATTTTCTGGGGTTTAAATACCCTCTAGAGGTTTCCATTGGTTACTTGGTGTCCGGTCTATGTAAATGAATAGGATGAAGTAAAGTTATAAAGTCATTTACTTGGTGTACATCCTTTGTAAATGGAGAGGATATTTCCTGTCATAGCTGAAGTGTTTCCATTTGATTTAGTTCTAGGAAGTCAGCATGAATAGGCCTTATATTCCCTGCCTCAAGACCCTATTCTCCTTTGAATACAGGACAGGTGTCTGGGGAAGCATGGGTAATATAAATGGGAATAAGACCTGCTCCAAAAGCTAAAGAGCTTTCAACCTTGGGAGTGGGAGCAGGACACAAATGTGAACACATAACTAGAAAAGAAGATGGCGTATGGTGCTTTATTTGTTGGAGGTGTCCTGGTACAAGAGAGATCACTGGGGAATGGGCCAGTTATACCACGCTGCTGGAAGGAAACAGCATTTCAACAAAGGGTTTTATTTGAGGCAAGACAGACATATGAGTGCACAGTGCCTTACATATAATAAGTAGTATAAAAGCAAGTTTTGAAAATGAATGGATGGGTGGAGGGGTGGGTGGGTGGGCATATAGAGAGATGGGTGGAGGAATGGGGAATGGAAGACTAGATACAGGACGGTTCTGTAGACCAGAGGTGATAGCATACAGGGGCACCTCCTTTGCAGATATAAATCTAAGCAAATGATGCTGTAGTCAAGTTCAGATTCCAGGAATTGGAACAACTCCCTTCTTGATTCCCTTATCAAACCTACAAAACCACAAAACCACAATCTCAAGTGTTGAGGGTTGGGTCAGCCTACTCAGCAGACAGGCTTACTATACAGCCTGACACTTGGGGGGATCTGGGGGGCCTCTCACTTGGGAAAGCTAATTCTGAACCCAGCCATCACAATTGTCCCTTGCACTTTACCAGATACTTAAAAGGTGCAAGGCCCTCTGGGGAGCAGGAACCCCTCCCCGGCACATCCCAGGCCAGACCCCTGCTCCACTGGGGAGGTTGGAGCAGCTCTGCACACCTCTGGAAACTATGTGGATTTCAAGTTTGCAGCACTAGTCTAAGGAAAAGCTCAATGGGTGTGCTAATTTGGGTTGGGGAGTGAAAACAGAAGGCTGTGCCGCCTGCCATCTAGTGGGTGTTGGGTTGCATCACTCCCAGGCCTCCCAGGCTCCTCCTGGACTGGGAAGGAGAATGGAGAAGCACAGCCCTTCCTTAATTCAGCTCTTTCTGTTTCTCTCTAGCTTGAACCAGGCAGGGCTTTGCCATCCCCCAATGACCTCAAAAGAAAAATACTCATAAAAAACAAGCGGCTGAAACCTGAAGTTGAAAAAAGTAAGTGAAACACACACATTTATAATGGAAGCATACATAACATGTGTGGACATTTCAGCTGTTGAGAATTCAATTTATTTTAAAACCACTGATTTTTGGGGGAAGGGTGTAGGGGTGATGTTACAGGTACTTTTCAGAGCAAGATTGCCACATTTCCATTTAAATTTAATTTCCATATCAATTAATTCATGCAGTAGGAAAAGCATATCTATATATTCAAATGCCAGAATTTGGAGAGGGCCCAAGGAAAATTGAGAGGAAAGTAGAAGCATTTTAGAATTTCTCAAGATATAAGGAACCAGCATTTTATAATTTTATACACTCTAAAGTCCTCATAAGTTTCCCTTTTCAGTTTGCCCCGTGCTCTATACCTATCTAGGGATACTAGGTACATATGAGTGTGTGACTGTGTATATGTGAATAGAGAGATCTAGAGACAAATGATTTTATATAAACATGTTTCCTTTTATTCTCCCAGGATGATTTCCTTGAAAATATTTTCTTTCAGAGTATATCCTAGTTCAGTGAATTAATGGTATCAAATATTGGCATGATTACACTTCATTTTCCCCCCAAGTATTCTAAATGAAAAATTTTAAATTATGTTAATGACAGTTTATTTTATTACAAAAGCAATAATGCCATAGAAAAATCAAGACAATGAAAAGTGTAAGAAAGTAACAGCACTAACATATATTATACACGTATTCATATACTATAGACACATGTACGTAATGTACATGTGTAGATATATACCCACATTTTTAACATGACTGAGATCATATTAATGATACTGAGTTTAAATTTTTAAAATTTAACCAAGTAAGTATACTTACATCAGCAGGATATACATCTACATACTAACTTTAATCCTAATGTATGAAACACTATATAGAATTTAATATATATGACATAGAATTGTATGCATTTATTATAGCATGATGTAACGAGTCCCAAGTTGATGGATTTTCACTACTATAAACATGCTTGAATGTTATTTTGTATGTTTGTGCAACCCTCTCCTTGAAATCAATTGGTGCAATTAGAGTTATTCAGCCAAAACGTATATATATTTTATATTGTGATATAGTTTGTTATGCTTTCTTTTAGGAAAGTTCTACCACCTTAGACTCTTCACCAGTCATATATGAGAGTGCCTGTTTCCCACCAATATCCTTAATGCTGGCTGTTGGCCATTTTTAAATGTGTGTCCAACTCATAGAAAAAAATTGGTACCTTAGGGGTTTTTTTATTTGTGTGTCTTCAATAACTCCTTTTTTGCATATTACTATTTGTGGTTTGTCCCTATGTGTTTTCCCATTTTTATTATTTTGTTTACCTTTATCTTTCTGACTTATAGAAAAATTATTTAGTCTTATTTTGTATAGTAGGATATAATCCCCATTAAATCAGTTGCAAATATTTTTTCCTGAAGTTTTGTTGCCAACCTGCCTATTTTCTATCAGTTCCCCATAACTGTTCGTAAACCTTGGTCTGTGCCAGATTCTCCAAATTATGGGCTTTTGTTATCTAGCCTTAAATCCTTCACGAGGACTGAACCTCCTCTCAAACTTGGTGACCAGAATTTTGGGCATTTCACCCATGTCCCCGCAATTCTTCATCATGTGTATATAAGGTGGTTGTTGCAGGTTTCTTACAAGGTCGAGACCACCAGGAAATGGCGAGAGAGAGATCACTGCTGAACCTTAGAAACATGGTGCCTTGGTGCCTGAACATTCTATTTCTTCTCTCTTTTCACGTCCTCCTCAGTGTCGATCTCAAGGCCTAGGGTTTGTATGTTACCTAGCATCTGTCACCATCTCTTTGCGTGTTTTTGCTAACAGAACAGCTGGAAGCTTTGAGAAGCATGATGGAAGCTGGAGAATCTGCCTCCCCAGCAAACATCTTAGAGGACGATAATGAAGAGGAGATCGAAAGTGGTGAGCTGTTTGCTTTTATTTTAAGTTACATGCTTTGAAAATACTTTTTAAATAAGAAAACCAGGCTGGGCACAGTGGCTCAAGCCCATAATCCCAGCACTTGGGGAGGCCAAGGTGGGAGGATTGCTTGAGCCCAGGAGTTCAAGACCAGCCTGGGCAACATTTTCGTAGAGATGAGACCCCATGTCTACAAAAAATAAAATATTAGCCAGACGTGGTGGCCTGTGTCTGTAGTCCCAGCTACTGGGGAGGCTGAGGCAGTAGGATCCCTTGAGCCCAGAGGTTCAAGGCTGCAGTGAGCTATATGTAATCCTACCACTGCACTCCAGGCTGGACAACAGACTGAGGCCTTGTTTCAAAAATAAATGAGTAAGAAAACCAGGAATTTCTTTCAGAAGACCCTTTTATATAATAATGCCGTTTTAATTCCTCATAGTAATATTTTGGTATTCTTGGTATTTTGCCAAACACTTCCCATTTTTTCTGGCTACTAAATTTTAATGGCCTTGTCATCTCCCTTCCTATTGGCCATTCAGCTATTCAGCAGAAATTCTTAGCCAGAGAATCCCTGAAGCACTTGCTGTAGTAGGCAGAGGAAGCAATATAAGGCACATTTTGTAATCCCTTTGTATAGACAAAAACATGAACTTGAGTCTGTTAATGATGAGAGTAGAGAGGCAAATAATTTAAGAGACCCTCAGGCAAATGATTGGTTTGTCTCCACAAAGTGAACTAGAAACTAAAAGCCAGTATTAAAATTTCAAGTTCAAATTCCTTCAAATAACCAGCTCACCAGAATTATCTCTGTGTAGCTAGATAATTTTAAGAAGGCAGTCTTGCTTAAAATATTTGAGTATGTGCTATTACCTTCTCTTTTACTTTGATCACATAGCAACAATCATAATGTTCAGTTGTAAATGGGTCATTTGAGAGTTTGGGGATGATTTTAGAGAATTATTTGTTTGTTATGTTTCATGAGAATTGATGAACGAAATGACAAGGACTTGTGTTGGTTATACAATGCCTTGGATTTATATACAGGCATACCTTGGAAATATTGCAGATTCAGTTCTAGACCACTACAATGAAGTAAATATTGCAAAAAAATTATTCACAAGAATTTTTGTTTCCCAATGCATACAGAAATTATTTACACTGTACTGTAGGCTAGTAAGTGTTCAATAACAGCATTATGTCCAAAAATGTAACTTAATTAAAAAATACCTATTGCTTAAAAATGCTGACAATTATCTAAACCTGCATCATATTGAAATCTTTTTGTGGAGGGTCTTGCCTTGAGTGATCAGGGAGGCAGTTGCCAAAGATTGGGTTGGCTGTGGTAATTTTTTAAAATAAGACAACAATGAAGTTTGCTGCATCAATTGACCCTTCTTTTCACAAAAGATTTCTCTGTAGCATGCAGTGCCATTTGATGACACTTTACCCAGAGCAGAGCTTCTTTCAAAATTGAAGCCAATCCTCTCAAACCCTGCTGTGATGCCTTCTCAACTAGGTTTATGTAATATTTTAAATCCTGTGTTGTCATTTCAACAATGCTCACAGTATCTTTACCTGGAGTAGATTCCATCTCAAGAAACCACCTTCTTTGCTCATTCACAAGAAACAACTCCTCATCGGTTTAAGTTTTATCATGAAATTGCAGCAATTCAGCCCCATGTTCAGGCTCCTTTTCAAATTCTAGTTCTCTTACTCTTTCTACCACCTCTGCAGTGACTTCCTCCACTGAAGTCTTGAACCTCTCAGCGTCATCCATGGGAGTCTCCCAAACTCCTATGAACGTTGATATTTTTACCTCTTCCCATAAATCATGAATGTTCTTTCTTAATAGCATCTAGAATGGTGAACATCAGAAGCTTTTCAGTTTACTTTGCCCAGATCCATCAGAGGACATTCTCTTTTAGGAAAGCTAGACATAGAGCTAAAAATCCAAAAGTTGGAAGAATTAACTAACCTTATTCAAGACTCCTTAATAAAGACTCCTGACTGTGGAACAGACTTTATAAGTGATTCAGTTGCATGTCCAGTCCTTGGGTTTGACATTACTCCCAGAGAAAAGTCATAATGACTGTACTTTCATTTGTTTTATGTGGCAGGGAGGGTCTAAGAGGCTAAAGATATCTGATACTACTCAGTTGATACTCGTTATTATGGTCATCTGTTACTATGCAATAAACCATCCCCAAATTTAGGGGCTTATAACAACACCTTATCATTTTCTGTCATAATTCTGTGGGTCATGTGGGCTTAGGTTGGTGGTTCTCCCTTGGGTTTCTCCTGCTTTTGTCAGCAGATGACATCTGGGGCTGACTGGTTCCCTTGGGTGGGTTATCCCGGACGGCTTACTCACATGCTGGCAGTGGATGCTGGCTGAACGCTGGGAGCTCCGCTGGGCCTCACTGACCATAGTATCCCTGTGGCCTCTCTCTGTGACTTGGGCTTCTCATAGCACGATGGCTAAGTCCCCCAGATGGAACATCTAAGAGCCAGTGTCTCAAGAGGCAGGAAGCAGAAGCTGCTAAATTAGTTAAGAGCTAGGCCTGGAACTGGTGCAGTATCACTTCCTCTATGTTTTATTCATCGAAGCAGTCTCAGGGCCCATCCAAGTTCAAGAGGGTGAGTGAGTGACAAGGTCACGTTGCATAAGAGCACAGAGGAGGGCAGATGATACGGCAGCTGTCTTTGGAAAATATAGTCAGCCGTGATGCCTACTATATTTTTTCACATGTTTTTGCAAATAATAAATCTAAACAAGATTTAAGAAAAATATATTTATAGAACTGTGTTTCAAATGGTCAAGAAAATACTCCTAAGATACAAAAAAGATGACTATTCAGTAAAACCAGTTCCTTTAAGTTAAATTTCATAGATGGTAATTAAAATATGTAAGGCATTACTGATACGATAATCCAGTAAAACAAACTGCAGAAATAATGGAATAAATTAACAAGAAAACAATGTTAATAATAATTACTACCATCGTTGTACCAACAGTGGACCAGGCAGCTTACATTATGGCCTTATCTAACCTGTATACAGCCTGATGAAATGGGTATTATTATTATTATTATTATTATTTTTGAGATGGAGTCTTGCTCTGTCACCCAGGCTGGAGTGCAGTGGCGCGATCTCGGCTCACTGCAAGCTCTGCCTCTGAAATGGGTATTATTACACCAATTTTTCAGATGAGAGGACTGAAGCTTAGAGAGGTAACATATTTTGCACATGATCCCACAGCGGGCAACCGATTGCACTAAGATTCAATCCCAGAGCTACCTGATTCAAGTCAAGACTTTTGTACGTTACAGTACTGCCCTTTCAATTCACAGGAATATGGTGAAAACATAGATATGCAAAAATACTTTTTTAAAAAGGAGAAAGAATAGAACGAATGAAAGTCAAAGATGTGATGTTTCCTAAACACACACAGTCATCTGAAATTAGCATCTGTATGGCTTCATGTATTATTCTTAAAGGTGCTTTCCCACCATCTACATCCATATGGTAATTATTCCTCCAGGCAGAAAAATATTTGCCTCTAGTGACTCCCATGTTATTCCAAAATATACTTGAGATTTGGGTTAAGTCTTAACAGAAATAACCACATGATTTAGTATCCACGTAGGAAAGTACCTAAGGACAGAATCATCCACCTAGATGGCACAAGGCTCCTGTTTCACCTGTTATGTGTGTGATTCTTAGGTTGCCTCAGTAATACTTGGCTTTGGTTCTGGTCAACTAGTCGGCTATAATTACCTTAGTGCCACTGTATGAATCTACTATCTATGTGTGGCTAGAGTCTCTAATTTAAATACATCAACACAGCAGGCAAGGGGAAACCAAGCATAGTTCAATAGGGGAGGCCTGCCTGGAGGCTGTAGAAAATAGAAAAGGCTTTCAGTCAGTGAAAGCAGGTGCCCAGGCATTAGGCTGGATTTAGATTCAGAAGGACATGTGGCTCCCAGGATAGGAGACAAGTAGTGGAGAATATCAAAATTGTATGTGGTTATAGGTGTGTCTGTGCATATCTGCACACTCAGAAAGTGATCATGTATTCATACAATTCTCTTAAGGTGGTTAGTAAGTCTCCACCACTTGTTTGGGGTATGCCCCTTGCCTTCAAGTGGTTTACATCTGTATTGGCAGTTTAGACATAAATTAAATTAAATGAAATGAAATTAATAAATTAAATGAAAATTTAATAGTGACATGAGAAGTTTTGAAATCTTGGTTACTGACTGTAGGTCATGGAAACCTAGTCCTGGAAGAACTATGTTAAGAATTCAAGAGACAGGTAGATCCATTATCTTGCTGTGTGATTTCAGACAAGTCAAATCATATCTCTGCATCTAGTTCCTCGTTTATAAGTAAAGACAGATGCTGGATTAGATTATTTTAAGATGTATTCCATTTCCTCAAATCCTTTTCTTCCTGCCTAAGCCTTACAATTACCCACTTGTTGTTGTTGTTGTTGTTTGGATTTTGTTTTTTTAATCGTCTGCCTCTAGAATATCCCTTCATCAGAATTGTTAGCTCCAGAAGAGGAAGGTGGCTGTTTCTTTCCCTCACCCTCCTCCTGTGCCTGGAGAGATACTTCACAAAATAAAACAGTCTATCTAGAAATTCTGAATCCAGATACTACCAGTTGAAAGATACCACTGTTTTATTATGACTAAGAAAGAAAAAGTAGTTTCCATTCACTGGAAAAAACCGTCAGTTGAAGAACACACTGCAATATCAGAAATATTAAATCAAAAAAAGTACATCTTAGAATCAGTGAAATCATTTTTCATTTACTCCTGTTCTTTCATTCTCCTTTGTACTTTTAAACATGCTTTAAAAAAATCTATCTCATTCTTATGGGTCTACTCATTTCCTTTCTGAATTTCTCAGAAATTATTTTAGTGGGTTTTTTTGTTTTGTTTTTACAGTAACGTTCCCTCATGCCCTGTGGTGTGACCATGTGGATTTATATTGTCCTCATCCTGATGTCTGTGGGTTTCTCCTGATCCTGGCTAGATTTTAGGCAAATTCTTTATCTGGGAATTACTGCAAATAGTGATTGTGTGAATCCAAATCTCACCTCAGCATGTTGCACATTTTCCAGCAGGTACTTCTTTTTTTTCCCCACGAACATCCTGGGTGGATTCTGGCATTCTTGTCACTTTCCTGGACCAATGAACACAGTGTGTGTACTTCCTTTCACAGACTAGACCACGCTCCAGGGACACCAGCTTTATTTGGCACCCACTTCCACTTCTCCTCCTACCTGAGCCTGACAAATGAGCCCTGAGCCTTTGAAACCTATGCTAGGTTTGACAAATAGTTTGCAGGAGTAGCACAATCCTTCTGAGGCCTTTCTTTTTTCTACCACTCCAAGCTATAAGTCATTATGCCCATAAAATTCAAGTGGACATTTTAGTCTCTTTCAAAATTATCCGATGTATTTGTTTTCTTGCATCTTCTTATTTGCTCTTGATGTCATGAAAGATCAAAACACCTTTTTATGAGTTATAGATATTCCTGCAGTGTTTGAGGCTTTCATTTTTAGAATTAGTATACTAGAATAGAAGTAGCCATCCACTTAAAAAAAATTTATTAAGCATCAAGCATTTCAAACCACATTTTAGGAGCAGGAGAAATAATACATAACAAGATGTGCTCCTTGACGTTGAATAGGTAAGAGTTTAGTGAGAGTTTTACTTGAAAAAATACTGCATATATCAATGTCCCCATTTTCTTTTAGCATCCTTTTTCTCTAAAAGTGCTTATGTTCTACCCAAGATTGTGAACAAGGTCTGACTACTTGGCAGTGGTTTGGTGTCATGGATTTTCCATTTGTCTTTCACACAGCTGACCAAGAGGAGGAAGCTCACCCCGAATTCAAATTTGGAAATGAACTTTCTGCTGATGACTTGGGTCACAAGGAAGCTGTTGCAAATAGCGTCAAGAAGGTCAGAGTCCCCTTTCTTTCATCACTCTCAAGAGGTAGCAGCTGTTATTTATGAAATTTTGGAAATGTGAGAACCACAAGAGAATAAAGTAACCTATAATTCCCCTTCTAAATTGCTTAGGATACGAGTCTGTGCTGGGTGACCAGAACTTGACACATACACAATATTAAATTTAAAAGGACATTTAAATTACTCATTAGTCAGGGCCAGTGTTAACCACTACCCATTTGGCCAGTGTCCTCTAAATATTATCATTTATTGTGTTATTGCAGCTGGGGAGGGAGAAAATGACAGCATCCCAGGGGTAAGATTTAATCTTGAATTCATCAGGAAAATGACCCCTGAACATCCCGAGTCTAGCCCTCATTTGAGAACTAGTCCTGCTAATTATATACCTTCCCCCTAAAGTACAGTAAGCATAAAAATGTTTCCAGATATTCAGCCAAGGAAAATAGTTATTCATATACTTACCTTTTGTCAGGCATAGTCTAGGCCATAATGACCTAAAAGTGTAAAACACACTTGCCTTCTGCCCTTAGGCAGCTCATGGCCCCCTGTAGTTTAGGGAAAGGGATCGGAAACAGCAAACAAGCAAGTAGTCAAATAACTATATAATTACAACTTACGGTGAGTGCAATTATGAACATAAACACGCATGCTGAAGAATAATGAAGTAGAAAGAATAAGGAAACCAGAACGCAAAGGGTCAAGAGGAATTGGCCATGCACAGAGGTTGATGAATCACTTTCCATGCGGAGGGACCACAGTAACAACAGCAAGGGCTGTGAGTAGAGTGGCTTGAGTGAGGGTGGAGTGAGACGAGATGAGGCAGGTAGGTGGGAACTGGGTGATGTAGGATTTTGGAGGCCATTATGAGAAATTCAAATATTCAGTGAAATGTGACACTACTGAAAAAGTTTAGAGAAGGGGGCAGTGTAGCCTGATTCAAGTTTTAAAAGATTGCTGTGGTTGCCATATGGAGACTAGTTTAGGAGGAAACAGGAGTGGAAGCAGGAAAAGCAGTGAGGACAGGCTGCTGCTCTAGGCCAGACGAGAGTCCCCGATGGTCAAACCAGACAATGCATCAGAGAGGACTGAGTGGCTTCAAGACATATTGAGAAATGGGACAGCCTACTGATGGATGGAATGTGGGAATGAGAGAGAAAGAAGAAGTGAGATGACCCTCTAGTGTCCTTGTTTGAGGAACTGGGTAGGTGATGGTACCATTTACTGGCATGGGGAAGACCGAAAGAGAAAGAATTCAGGAGTTTCAAATGGGATGACTATTTGAGATGCCTGTGAAGTATTCAAGGGGAGGTGTTCATATAGCATTGCCATCTGACTCTTTCTCTGGGTTCATTTCCTAACTGTCTAACTTTGGGTAAGTTACTTAACCTCTGTGTACCTTAGTTTCCTCATCTGCAAAGTGAAGACGATAACACCTATTTCATGGGGTCACTGTGAAGAGTGGATGGTTTGTGACATGTCAAGAGCTTAGCGTGGTGCCTGGTACATGGTAACTCCTGTAAAGGTATTAGTTGCTGGTATATTATCATCCTTTTCATCTTTATCATTGTCATTATCCTCATGATCACTGGCGTCATTATCACGCGTATATAGAAGACAGGTTGAGCTAGAGATACAAGTTGGGAGTTCAAAAGATCGTATTTGAAACAATGGAAATACTGAGATGATTCACAAGGAAAGGTGGAAAAGAAGGCCCAAGTGGAGCCCTAGTTAAAAGTGGAGCCAGAAAAGAAGAGCAAGGTATGGCTAGAGAAGTAGGAGGGAAATTAGGCAGTGACACCAAGAAAACCAGGAAAGAGAACAGTGTTAACAGAAGGACTGAGTGGTTGACTGTAGAATATGTTAAAAATCTTAGACAAATTAAATTTAACAGAGTTTAGTTGAGCAAAAAAAACAATTCCCAAATTGGGCAGGACCCAAACCAGAAGAGGTTCAGAGAAACTCCAGTGCAGCCATGTGGTGGAAGATTTTTTGGCAGAAAAAGGAAAGTGACCTACAGAAAACAGAAGTGAGGTACAGAAGCAGCTGTATTGGTTACAGGCTTATTTGCCTTATTTGAACAGAGGTTGAATAGTTGGCCACCTTTGATTGGCTGAAACTCAGTGATTGGCACATGAGTAGGTTCCAGTCTGTTTACACACCCATTCAGTCTACAGTTTACTATGTGAAAGTTTATGAAAAAACCTTTAGAATAGGTAAAGAGACACCTTTAGGCTAAACTTAATTTAACAAATGCTACTGACTGATTAAGTAAGAAGACTCAAGAGTGTCCTTTGGGTTGTTAGCATGGAGGTCGTTGGCAACCTTAAAGAGACATTTCAGTGGAGTGCCAGGCAGGGTGGTGACACTGGATCACACAGATATGAATGACTAGAGACTATGCTTTTGAGAAGTTTTGATGTGAAGGGGAGCAAGAAATGGACTGGTGGCCAAGGGCACCTGAGGAGTCAAGGGAGTGTTTTCTTTTTCGGATGAATGAATCTGGAGTGTGTTTGAAAACTTGGAAGTGGTGCAGTAGAGAGGAAGAGATTAGTTTTGCAGGAAAGAGAGGGGATAACTGCCTGGAATTCCTTGAGGAGGTGGAAGAGGGTGGGATTGCTGTGGTGCAAAGGTGTGGCCCTTCACAGGAGCAGGAACACCTGATTAGTGAAGACAGTGGATGAAGATGCAGGTAGGCAGATACATTTGGTGATAGGAAGAGGGGAGAGTATTTGTCTGATGAGCAAAGCCAAAGGAATATTGCCTTTACACACTATCTTTTCTGATATAGGGAATTGTGACTACTCTGAGAATATTGAACATCTATTAAGACTCAAGAGTATTGTTTTAATACAAAAATTAGCCAGGCGCCATGGTACGCGCCTGTAATCCCAGCTACTCAGGAAGCTGAGGCAGGAGAACTGCTTGAACCCAAAAGGCGGAGGTTGCAGTGAGCCAAGATTGTGCCACTGCACTCCAGCCTGGGCAACAGAGCAAGACTGTGTCTCAAAAAAAAAAAAAAAAAAAAAGTTGCTAAAGCCTTCATCAATATTGTCTTAGTGTCTTAGTCAGTTGGTGCTGCTATCACAAAAATACCATTGGCTTAAACAACTGAAAACTATTTGTCACCATTCTAGAGTCTAAGAAGTCTAAGATCAAGGTTCCACGCAATCAGTTCCTAATGTGGGGGGCCTTCTTCGTGTTTATGTCCTCATGTGGTGGACAGAGAATAAGGAGGCAAGCTCTCTCTTGGCTTGGCCCTCATGACCAAATTACCTCCCAAAGGCCCCATCTTCAAATGCCATCACATGAGAATTAAGGTTTCAGTATATGAATTGGGGACAGTATGGGGGGCTGCACCAGCAAACAGTCCATAACAAATACCCAGACATGAATGCTGAGTTACTCAAGAGTGACCATTCATGCTGCTTTTCCTAAGCCCCATGACTAAAGCACTAATTAAATAATTATAATAAAACATCTAAGTAGGTAAAGACTGTCCACGAAGGAGGGAAAGAGCATTAAGATTAGCCCTTCTGGTGCATAAAACAGTGAGGCCATCCATGGCTTTTTGTCATCAGTAATGTCCCACCTTAGCAAATAAATAGAATAACAAGTTTACCTACACTTATTTAAATATCTATGTATGTATGGCTAATAAATTTGGAATTTTGCCCTTTAGAGAAGTAAACAAATTATTTCCTTTCTCTAATTAGGCTTCAGATGACCTTGAACATGAAAACAACAAAAAGGTAACAAAATAATTCCCTTGCACATTTTAAATCAGATGCATCTAATTTAAAAAATCTTCAAAGGAAGGAATCAGTTGTGGTGAAAAAATGATTAAATCCTGATAAAAATCACAAAACTAGGGCAGATGAGTAAGATGATTTTCTAAAAGTAGGTATTTAATGCAGTAAGGCATTTTCTTCACTGGAATTAGAGATTTCATTCCTGCAGTGGAACTACATGATCATCAGCATATTGAATTTGAAAATAAAAATGAGTGAATAGGTCATCAAATCCATATTATAGCATAATAGAAAGGATGATCTTAGTTCCCACTACATTGACATTCTGGAAGATCACTGATTAATTTTACACTGCATAACTTCTAAGAGTATTATTTGATGTTATTAGCTATTGGCCTTATTGTAGGAAAGGTAAAGTTACATTTTCACTTTCTTTCATCCTCTTCAAAGTTCTTCAAGTGATCACAGTGGTTTTATTTAGTAAGTATTTATGGTTTATCCTACAACAGTGAGGCTGACAGCCACAGGCAGAAGTTTGCCTAATAACTTCATTCTCATACTTCAGAGGTTCGGAAAATACTGCCTTGCTGCCTGTGGGGTCCTATCCTATTTGAAGTTGAGATCGTATCTTCTCACCCTCTAAATATTAAACTTGAAAGAATTATGAATAAATATGGTCGCAGGCCTGTCCCAAAATATTTGTGAGTACATTACTCTCTTGTTCTAGAATTTCATAATTCATAATTTGGGTCAACAGTATACAGATTGACATTTGGTCATTGTCATTTATTAGCTAAGTTATTTTAATTCTCAAGGCATCAATCTTCTCATGTGGTCAGTGGGTAGGACTCTAATCCTCACTACACATCACAGACAGTAATGAGACTGTGTGTGCAAGAACTCATCCTGGTGCTCAGCTCATAGCACTGGTGGTATTTATTATTATTAAACACACATGGAAGGAACGGACATGGCCGTTGTTTGGTGGGGGAGCAGGAGGACACATTAAGAAAATGATAAAAACAAAAACAAAACCAA
Organism: Homo sapiens; assembly: GCF_000001405.40. Classification (NCBI taxonomy): domain Eukaryota; kingdom Metazoa; phylum Chordata; class Mammalia; order Primates; family Hominidae; genus Homo; species Homo sapiens. The sequence goes on from NC_000020.11 coordinate 9,406,387, forward strand.
ATTACATTACTTGATTATTGTTTCAGGCTTTTATTGGTGAAATCAGTTTGATAATTTAGAATGCTCAGATTGTTAAGTGATCAGTTAAGACAAACAAATTGACCATTTTTTTTTTTTTTTGAGATGGAGTCTCACTCTGTTGCCCAGGCTGGAGTGCAGTGGCGTGATCTCCGCTCACTGAAAGCTCTGCCCCCCGGGTTCACTTCATTCGCCATTCTCCTGCCTCAGCCTCCCAGTAGCTGGGACTACAGGTGCCTGCCACCATGCCCAGTTAATTTTTTTGTATTTTTAATAGAGATGGGGTTTCACAGTGTTCACCAGGATGGTCTCGATCTCCTGACCTCATGATCCACCCGCCTCAGCCTCCCAAAGTGCTGGGATTACAGGCGTGAGCCACTGCGCCCAGCATCTGACCATTTTTTAACTCATGGATTACATCATCCAACTAAGGAATTTATCCAACTAGATTCACTTTATGCAGGAAATTTAGCTTTGCAAAGTTCTCAGCAAAAATATTGATCACTTTTGAAGGTATTTTTGTTGTTGGTTTTATTGTTGTTTTTTCTATCAATAAATAAACTAATTTGTTTTCTTTTTTCTGTATGCAAAGTAATGCAGTTTCAATATGTCCTATGCAGCAAGTTATTAGGTTACTTTTAAGATTAAGTGCTTTTTAAATACTATAAACCACGTATGTATGTTGCTTACATTCTAGAGTGCTACAGTGAAACATAGTCCCCAAAGAGGCAGCATCATTAGCACCTGGGAACTAGTTACAGCAATGACTGGCCTCACTGCAGACTCACTTCAACAGAAACTCTGAGTGTGGGGCCCAGGAATCTGTTCTAGTTTAAAAAGTCTTCCAGGTGATTCTGATGCACGCTAATGTTCGAGAGTCACTATTTTTGATGTTGTGCCTCAATTTGTAAAAATATGATGCTATATCTATTTCATAGCATTGCTGTGAGGTCCAATATAGTAATTTCTTTTTTTTTTTTTTTGAGATGGAGTCTTGCTCTGTTGCCTGGTCTGGAGTGCAGTGGCACAATCTCAGCTCACCTCAACCTCTGCCTCCTGGGTTCAAGCGATTCTCCTGCCTCAGCCTCCCAAGTAGCTGGAATTACAGGCTCACGCCACCACACCCAGCTAATTTTTGGCATTTTTAGTAGAGATGGGGTTTTGCCATGTTCGCCAAGTTTGTCTTGAACTCCTGGCCTCCCAAAGTGCTGGATTAAAGGCATGAGCCACCGTTCCCGGCCAGTAATTTCTTGAATAAAGTCCCTTAAAAATCTAAAAATGTCCTACAAATGTAAGATAAGCTTAATATTTTATGATTACCTCCTTTTGCATTATTCAGAGCTACAACAGACACTAACTTCTTAAAGTATCCTTTAGCATAATTGAGGAAGAAAAAGCCTTTACCTTTCAATTTGTGTGTGTGCAATTATCTTTATTAAGGAAATCTGCAGCACGTATCCGTGGGTCCTACTGAAGTCATCAACTTATATGTTTTCTTCCTTGTGCTTGTAGGGCCTGGTCACTGTAGAAGATGAGCAGGCGTGGATGGCATCTTATAAATATGTAGGTGCTACCACTAATATCCATCCATATTTGTCCACAATGATCAACTACGCCCAGCCTGTAAAGTTTCAAGGTTTCCATGTGGCAGAAGGTAACACCAAAGGTTAAATGCAGTCGCCTTTTTTGCTTGATTTTCTTTTATGGTGCTGATGAGCTTTTATCTAATTTGTTGCCATTTTTCTTTGTGGGCATGGGGGCTGTTCCACCTCACCTTATTTTTGTTTCACAGACCATAGAAGCCACCTTGGTATGTGGTGACATTACATTGTCATTCACGACTTCAACCACAAGGTGGCGATGAGAGACTATGGATTTGTTAGTGCTGGGCATGTAGCTTCTTCTGTTCCCAAGTGCATTCACAAGACTCCTTTTAATCAAAAGCTGGTTTTCAAAAAAACATAAGAAGTATTTAAAAACTTCATTTCTGGGCTAGAGAAGCCATCGTAATCATCATTATCATCAAAAATTCATATTTCGGTGGTGGCTGAAAAGACAGATGTCTCCATCCACAGGATGTCAATGAAAGTAGGAGCTACTGACATGATAATGTAGCATTAGCCTCCAAGGCCTCATGATTCAGGGTGTAATTGCATTTATTTATTGCTGTTTTTCGGTGAGGGTTTGATGGCAGAGTTCCTGAATCCATCTTTGCTTTTCTTTTACAGAACGCAATATTCATTATAACATGTCTTCTTTTAATGAATCAGTCGGTCTTGGCTACTTGAAGACACATGCAATTGAATTTGTCAAGTATCCTTATGTATCAAGTGGAATGAGTGGTTGACTCACGTTGGTTTGGCAAGAGCCTCTGAAATAGATAAATGGCTAATATCTCATTCTGGTGGTGGAGTTCATAAAATGATATGTGGGAAAGACCATGGCAGCTGTGACAATCTGCCCAAATGAAAATTGTTTTTATAATCCACACAGTGAACTGTGATCTTAAGCATCATTTGTAAATGTGAAATCTGCTCTGTGCTGTCTACTTGTTTGTCATTGTTGGCCTAGACCTTTGTTGTTTTAGCTCTTTGTTGTTTATTTTTCTCTGCTGTAGGACTCTTTTTTTCTGTTTTCCTTAATAAGTTACAGTTATAACAAACGGCAAATGAGTCGCATTTACCCCAAGGGAGGCCGAGTCGATTCCAGTAATTACATGCCTCAGATTTTCTGGAACGCTGGCTGCCAGATGGTTTCACTGAACTATCAAACCCCAGGTAGGAGCTGATGTCCAGTGACCCCAAATTCCATGAGAACACTTTGACAGGATGGTGCCAGCACTTCCCATCAGTTGGCTGTGGGCATTTTTTAAAGGAAGCAGACATATGGCAAAGCAATGTGTTATTGGATTTATATAATGGTGAGAAATAAAAAAAAAAAAACCAAAATAGAGCAAACAATGGTAGAAGATAATGTGTTGTGATTGGAATTTAATTCCTTTCATAAATGCCATGACTATTCCTGCTAACCATTATCCCATATTCCAAAATATTTCTCATTTTTCTTCCTTTTGGATCAAAGTTGTTATCTTTGTTTCCAGAGGCAGAATTAAGTGAAAAGAATTTGAGTATCTTTGTACAGTAACAGCGACTCATTTCTCCTTTGGCAAACACCCTGACCACTGTGAACATTCAGCAAATATGACTGATGCAGGGGCACTTCACTAAACAAATACAGAATATTTTGAAGTAAATGCCACTAAAATGGTATATAAGGAGTTACATATTTGAAGAGGTACTAATCTATAACTTGGTCCTCCAAAGTGTACTCAAAGTCAGGTTTCCAATATATAATGACTTTTTTTTTCTGGAAGGAAAAGAGTAAATTTTTATAATTGATAAACACATTTTTAAAATTTTTGAGGTTTGCTTAAGAGCCTAGGATCACAGTATCAAGACTAGAGGTAGCAAAATAGAAATAGAATAGATAGAAATATGCCACAAACCCTCTTCACTGTAGATGGTCAATTCTACAGCATGGTTCTTACAACTGGTAAAATAAAACAAAACCAGAAAGCTCTTTTTTCCTTCAACTCTTTGCTATTAAGAGAACTGCCCATGCTTCCCAATTTGAGGATTTTTTAAAATCTATTTTGTATTTTAAGAATCCCTGTCACTTCGTTCCCTGCTATGTGGATTGAGTGGAAGATCCTTTGACTTTCATTCCTTTGGCATGAGTGTGAGCTGACTGTGCTTCTCATGCCTTGAAGGAGCCTCCCCAGTGACCAGAAGCTCCTCCTACTGGAGTCACCATTCTGCATGGGGTCCCCACAGTGCTTGCTAGGTTAGACTGTGACGTGATAGCTACCAATACAATCCTGAGTGTTTCTAGCTGGGGCCCAGTAACAAGGCTCTGATGACTTCACTTACTTAAAAAAGCCCAACTTGTGTTCTCAGTTGTCAGTGAGTCCATAATATGGATTAAATGGCTAACCCAGCTTATGTTTTATTCTATAATATTAGGTTTAAACACAACATTTTGAAGAGGAAAAAATATCCATCAGTTTACCCATTTCTTTTGCGGATGGGAAGAAAGAAAAAATGTTATTCACTTGCAAGACAGAAGTCAAAAGCCATGTGCTGCCAGTGTAGACCCCACTAGAGTAATTCCCCCTGCCTCCCATCCTGGAAGCATGCCACCAAGTTTTATGCGATACTTACCTAGTTCATTTTCCAGTCTTTTAAATCAAGTTTCATATTCACCCTCCCGGGTATCTCCAGGGTTCCTCTGCCCAGGGATCCTGAGACCCATCCTCTCCCACTGTAGCAGGTTGGATATCTCTACTCTCAATACTCATCAAACAATGGTGTGACTCCTATATTGAATCCAGTTTTAAAAGTGACCTTTAGCATGATCTTTATGAAAACACATTTTATGTTTAATTTAAATGAAACATGAGGTCAATTCAACATGGAAGAGAGTATGCCTTAAATAGACCAAGCAGAACCTTGTAGTATTAAAGAGGGACCTGTGGGCCTAGGAGCAATCTGATACCTATTGTTTCAAATCACCCCGTCAGGGTCTTTTTTGTCTAGGAAGACAAGATGCTAAATTATTTTTGTCTCTTGACAGATTTAGCGATGCAATTGAATCAGGGAAAATTTGAGTATAATGGATCGTGCGGGTGAGTAATATGATTTAAACTGTTTTCACCTAGATTGAGAACTCCATACTACAGCTCTAATGAAGCCATGTCATTTTCAATTAGGGGCTACAGAATTTAAGCTGGGTTTGAGGGATGGAATAGAAAGAAATGAAATACCTAGAGAATATTTGCACATATACATTCTTCATCTACCCCATTTTACTAAGCAGGTTTTGGGTTTTTTAAATCACAAGTGAAGCAGTTCATACATATGCTACAGTTTAATCCTCTCACTTTAAAATCAATAGTGGAGGATTTTATGTCTGGGACAGGTAATAATCCCTGCACACTTGGACATTAACTGGAGATGTAGGCATTAAATATGTGCATTTTACCTAGGACAAATCAAATAATGAAGTTAATTTCATATGTAATGAAGTTGTGGGTGTCGAGCTGAATTTCATTCAGTTGGGAATAAACCTTTGTCCTCTACTGATTCTTTTTTGTGTCTTGTAAGTAGCAGTTATCAAAGAATAATGCTGTGAATATTGTCCTAGTTTCCTTAAATAGCACTCTTGAAAACTGTGAACCAAGAAGTGAAATAGGAAATGTTAATTCTACAGAAACACTGAAAGGTTAAATGAAAATATAAAATTAGAATTCTCTTGAGATAAAAAAAAAAAAACACAACTATGTGGTCATCCCCTCACCCCACCTCAGCCTCATGCATCTGTCCCCAAACAAGTAAATATTAATAACTCCAGACCACTGCCCAAAGGCCTGTAGAGGAATCCAATGGAAAACTATCCCGTCATAATGATGCTATTAGGAATTTCTTCATGGTGGCTCACCTGATTGGATATCTTTTTATCACTGAACACTGCCAGTCAAGATAACATTTTTCAGTGGTTGTGAGTTAGGAATGACTTTTCAGCATGCACTCTGCCTCCCTCTGCCAGCCTGGTGAATGGTTCTCTGCCAATGTGGCTGCAAACACAGTGATTATGCTATTCCCCAAATCACCCACCACTTACATACCTGGAGCATGCCCTACATTTTCCTCTGCTGTGTGCTTTGGAAGAAAATAAATTGTGTAGCTGGGAAGAGAAAGATCTGAATTCATATTTCAGAATTTTGTGAAAGCAATTTTGTTATTTAATGCCAAGTGTTCCAACCCAGGAGATTTTGCGCATAAATTGCTTTGTAGACCTCCTCCTCTCCCAAGTAGTGGGCCAAGGCATCAAGCCCCAGGGGTTCAGCCCTGGACTGTCAGTAAAAGCCCTAGGCTGGGAGTCTAAAGATCAGGGTTTGAGCTCAGCTCCCAGCTGCTCCTAGTTCTTGCTGTATTGCCTAGAGCAGGTGTGTTAGACCCAGAGCCTCTCTTCTCTGCTTGATAAAATGAAGACGGTGACACCTGTCGCACAGGGTTTGTTGTACTCAAAGGAAAAAAAATGTCTTTTTTCTAGAACGAAACAGGGAACTGAAAAAGACTTTGTCCTTTGACAAAAACCGAGTCCTTTCTGATGAGACCCACCTTTGGGCTTCCCTCTCAGTCACTGTAGAATCCAGTCTGAGCAACAATCGTGCTAGTTCAGTTTAGTGAAAATCCCCAGCCCTTGGTATCTGACCACCCTGGATATCCTGTCACTTTGGCCTGCCTTCAGCAATAATCCTATCAAGTCAGTTTGGCCAGAAGTCCTTATCCTTGATGTTTCCTCATAGTAATTTTCCATCTGCTGGCGCTCACCTTACTCCATGGTTCTAAATCTCCATGTACGCTTGTTGGGGTAAGGGTTGAGCCCTTATACCTATCACCATGGCTCCCTACCCCTTTGAATAAAGTCCACTTTACCATGTTTAACAAGTGTTTGTGTACATTTTTTTCTTTAACAGTTTACGACAGCTCAGTCAGGTTGAATGAGTGTACGAAAGTACTTCAGGAACTGCACATTTCTGTGCAAAAGTGAGATTTAAGAAAAGCTTAAGGCCTTGTGATCAATCACACACACAGACATTGCAAAATTCAATGAGTGCTCTGTTCAGTCGTCCTTTAAGGACCCCAAGGAGTCAGCCTCAGCACTCCTGGCTCTTACAGGACCCGTCGGGCATGGCTGTGCTCACTTCTGAAAACTTGCAGTGGCCCGGTGATGCTTGAAGCACTTTCCTTGCCCACCTCAGCGATCACACCTAAGATGCCATCAGCTGTCTAACATGCCATGAGGAATCCTGGCAGCCTGGCCGGATGCAGGGAGTATTGTTTCTGTATAAAAAAAATCCTGACGGCTCGGCCCAGTGGCTCACACCTGGAATCCCAGCACTTTGGGAGGCCGAGGCGGGCAGTGGCTCACACCTGGAATCCCAGCACTTTGGGAGGCCGAGGCGGGCAGATCACAAGGTTAGGAGATCGAGACCATCCTGGCTAACACGGCGAAATCCCGTCTCTACTAAAAATACAAAAAATTAGCCGGGCGTGGTGGCGGGCACCTGTAGTCCCAGCTACTTGGGAGGCTGAGGCAGGAGAATGTCGTGAACCTGGGAGGCAGAGCTTACAGTGAGCCAAGATCGTGCCACTGCACTCCAGCCTGGGTGACAGAGCAAGACTCCATCTCAAAAAAAAAAAAAAAAAAAGTCCTGACAATCCTATGTTGTTTGTTTTTCCTAGAATTTCTGCTTAGCCATTATTAGCACGTGCAGTGTCTCACTCTCTCCACCGTTATTTATTTTTTCTTAAGACAGGGTTTCGCTCTGTCACCCAGGCTCAAGTGCAGTGGTGCAAACGTGGCTCATTGAGGCCTTGACATCCTGGGCTCAATCCATCCTCCCTCCTCCACCCCTCAAATAGCTAGGGGTGCCCACCACCACACATGGCTAGTTTTTTTATTTGTACAGATGGGGTTTCACCATGTTGCCCAGACTGGTCTCGAACTCTTGAGCTCAGGCAATCTGCCTGCCTTGGCCTCCCAAAGTGCTGGGATTACAGGCATGAGCTACTATGCCTGACCTCACTGGTCATTTGTAAATGCGTTCATTTATTTTAAAATACCTTCACAGAAAAGGATACTGTTGCTACTTTAGCCTGAATTCTGTGCTGATGTGTTGGACGCTATGTGACTGAAAGCATACACCTCACCAGAAAAGCTGAAAAATAGCCTGTGCAGTGGGGCAGCCCAGCTTGATAAAGTATCAGCGATGCTGTTGACTCTGTAATCTCCTAATTCCCCTTCCCATACACCCAGCTGGTGGCAAAGGCTGTCAGTGACAGGGAAAAGAGAAGAAATTGCCGTCACCTGCATGCCTCTGTGTTCCATGGCGATGGTAGATGTGGGGCCCGGTGCTGCACAGGAGCTCCTGTCACTGGTGCTCGGGCACTGCATGGTTCTCACCGTGTCACCCTTGTGGTTCTCCCACCCACCTGCAAAGACTTTTAAAAACTGCCCCTTTGGGCTGAGTCTGAGGACTGCATTTCTTAAAGAGGCATTCTGTGCCCTTTAGGCCTGTGGAGGCAAAGAATCCCTGTTTTATATAGAACATCAGTGTGCAAAGTACACAAACACCCCCAGGATCTAGCAACTGTAGCAAAACGTCAGATACCCTCCTGGGAAAACCCTCTGTGCTCCCTGGCTGATCTTGTGGGAGGACGCACCACTGGGCCCAATAAGTGTGAATGTTACCAGGAAAGTGAGCAGTGCTTTTAACAGTCTCGTTTTTGAAGATGGAAAAATGGAAGACATTTCCCTAATTGCAAATGAAACAAAATAGTGTAAATTAATACCTAAAATCTTTTTAGACTTTCATAGGAAAGTGAGTGATTGATATCAAAATGGTATGACATTTTATGATTCAGAGGCTGTTTTTTATACAGCATTTCTCCCTTGCCCACAGGCCGTACGTTCTAAGAACCCCAGTGGATGCCTGAAACCACCAAACCCAACATGTATTATATATATTGTGGTTCTACACATTGCATACCTGTGATAAAGTTTAATTTATAAATTAGGCATAGTAAGAGATTAACATCAATGACTAATAATGGAACAGTTATAACAATATAGTGTAATAAAAGTTAGGTGAATGTGGTCTCAAAATATCTTAATTTTTTCTCTTTTATGTTTATTGGCTATTTGGATATTCTGTTTTGTGAAGAACTTCTACTCATTTTCCTATTGGGTTTTCTATCTTTTAAAATAGATTTTTTATTTCAAATTTTTATTTTCCAATTTTTATATTAGGTTCTATTTTAATATTTTTGGAACAGAGTTGACCAGGGGTAGCTGAAGCCTCAGAAAGCAAAATTGCAAATAAAGGGGGATACTGTATAGCATAGCAACTTGCAGTTATCATCAGCAGCCATTTTGCTTTCTTGCAGCTAAATAAAATAATGGCATGTTGGACAACTGATGGCATCTTAGGTATGATGAAATAGGATGCATTTCCTTATGACCCCATTTTCTCATTCTTGGTGCTCCTATCCACCCACCTGGTTAGCAACCCTTCTTCTCTCCCTCGCTTGCCTTCCAAGGCCTTACACAGTCCACAGAAAATCCTTGGATCCCTGTCTTGGCATTGGCTTTGGCCTTGTGCCTGTGCCTACCGCACAGACCTAGATGTCTGGAATGAGTTCATTTTCTGTACCAGAAAGCACCAAACAGACCATCTATGTCATTTGCAGGGCCCAATGCAGAATGAAAATGAAGGGCTCCTGAGAATTTAGGATGGTGGATGCAGAGCATTAAACCAAGCATGGGGCCCTTCTGAGTTCAGGGCCCTGTAGAACTGCACAATTAGCACATCCACATAGCCAGCTCTGGTGCCAGATTCTGGCTTCAGCTTCCCTATCAATGCCCCAGCCCCCTGCACCCTCACAGCCACCAGGGATATGAGAGGCAACCTCTGCTGCTCTCTCAGACCGCCTTGGACCCAGAACAGATGCTCCTTTGACCTTCAAAGAAAGCTTGCTAAGTGTCCTATCCCAGGCCAGGGCTTATCTCATGGTCCTGACAAGCTTCTGCATACTCTGTTTTACTCTCTTCAAGTATACAAAATGAACCCATTTCACCGGAGCATGCCTGCTTTGGAGAATTGGATATGGGTTTCTTGCCCCTTTCCCCTGCCATTTCTCATTTTGGATCAATTCACTCCTTCAGAGATGAGTGTTCTATGCAGATTTGAAAGGGGGGATGTGGAAGAATGCTTTTGACCCTGAGATGTCATTGTGATCCCGTTTCTTATTTTGGTGGGTAGGAAGGGCTCTTGATCTTTAACAAAGGACTGTGGAAAGTGAGGAATCTCTGGACACTCACTTCCCAAGGAGATTCAGAACTGGAAAGGTGACTCCAGTCCTGTATTCATCCAAGTCCCGACCTTCCTCGGGAGGCAGAATCCCTCATTTGCCACAGCTGGGGTCCAAATGCTGCCTGTGTCATGAAAGCCAGACCCACCATTGTTACCTCCCCTCACAGTCTGTGTCGGTTTTCCTTCCAGAGAAAGCTGGTGGGCTTCCCTCGGAGATGCAGGCGTAGTATTGTAGCTACTCACCTACTTTCCATCCTGATTCTTTACCTTTTGCTGTATCATCATATTTTCTAGTTGCCAACTCTAGCCACAAAAAAAGCTGCAAATCTAAAATTCCATGAATACAGAAGATAATCTCTTCTATATAGAGAGCTTTTATATTAATATTGTGGGTTGCATTCTCTTGGAGACAAGAGTGTTCAAAATTACCTTCAACATTTCAACAATTGTGTAAATGTCTATATTCTTGATAAAAAATCAGTGTTGTCTCTTAAAGATTCCTTTTTGGACTATCAAATGTAAGGGAATATTTTTAACACTTTGTTTTTTGTTCAGTCTTAGAAGATAACAATGAATGGTGACTTTTTCAAAACTAAGAAAAGTGACATTAAACTTTAAAGAAAAAATATCATGACTCAGGATCCCTTTTGGGTTGTATTTTAACAGATAATAAAGTTGACATCATCTAGACTTGAAATTAATAAAAGTTATGCTTCTAAGAAAAATTAGAGATTTGAGTTCCCATAATTTTGATTCTTTTACATTTAAAAGCAAACCTTTACTTTTGGAAAAAAGTACTTTTATTTTCATTGATGTACTGCTCATAGTATGGATTCTTTAAATCTATGGTTATACTTATTTCTAATAATTTTTTAATTTTTTTTAAGTTTTTTGACACAAGTTTCAGGGAAATTATGGAATCTGTGATTATATGACCACTACCCCGTGGACATGAGGGGCAGACATTGTGTAGTGAGGGTAATTGCAGAACATTTTCATCGCCTCAAAATCTGTATCGTTTAGCTTTCATCTCCCAATAGGAATTTTAATCTACCCTCTGTCTCTATATTTGCCTATTCTGAACATTTGATATAAATGAATTTATATAACATATGGCCTTTCGTGCCTGGCTTCTTTCACTTAACATAATGTTTTCAAGGTTCATCCAGGTTGTAATGTGTATCAATACTTTATTATTTTTATTGCTGAATAATTTTCCATTGTATGGATATACCATGTTTTGTGCCATACATTCATTCATCGATGGACATTTGGGTAATTTCCATCTCTGGATTATTACAAATAATGCTGCTATGAATGTTCATATGCAAGTTCTTCTATGAATATGTCTTTCCATTTATCTTGGTTACATGCATAAGAATGGAATTGCTGGGTCATATGGTAACTCTATGTTTAACTCTTTGAGGAACTGCCAGACTGTCTTTCTAAGTGAATGCATCATTTTACACTCCTACTAGCAACATATGAGAGTTCCAATTTCTCCACATCCTTGTCAACACTTATTGTTATCTGACTCATTAATTACAGTCATCCTAGTGTATACATAGTGATATCTCATTGTGGTTTTGATATTCATTTCTCTGATGACTAATGATGTTAGACATCTTTTTATGTGCTTCTTGGTTTTTTGTATATCTTATTTGGAGAAATGTCTGTTCAGATCATTTGACCATTATTTAGATGAGTTATTCTTTATGTATTCTAGATACAGGCCTCTAATCAGATATATGAATTGCAAATTTTTTCCTTTTTGTGACTAGTCTTTTTACTTTCTTCATAGTGTCTTTTGAAGCATAAAAGTTTTCAACAGAAAATCCAGTGTATCATTGCATGTGCTTTTGGTATCATGTTTAGAATCCATTGCCAAATTCAGGTCATAAAGATTTGTCCTTATGGCTTCTTTTAGGAATTTTGTAGTTTGGCTCTTGCATTTAGTTATTTTATCCTCTTTGAGCTAATTTTTGTATATGGTATAAGGTAAAGATCCAGTTTTATTTATTTATCTATTTATTTGCATGGAACTATCCTATTATCCTGTCACTATTTATTTAAAAGACTATTCTTTCACCCATTGATTGGTCTTGGCATCCTTGTCAAAAATCAATTGGCCATAGATAACGTGGATTTATTTATAGACTTTGATTCTGTCTCAATGAGTTATGTGTTTTTCTTTATGTCAGTACCAGACTGTCTTGATTAAATCTTGTAGCTTAGTAATAAGTTTTGAAATCAAGAAGTGTGAGACACCCAATTTTGTTCTCTCTTTTAACATTGTTTTGGCTATTCTTGATCCCTTGAGTTTCTATATGAATTTTAGGATTAGCTTGTCAGTTTCTACCAAAAAGTCAGCTGGGATTTTGATAGAGATTACACTGAATTCACACATCAATTTGAGAAATACTTCCAGCTTAACAATATGGTCTTCCAACCCATGAAGGCAAGATGTCTTCCCATTTATTTAGCTCTTCTTTAATTTTTTTAAACAGTGTTTTGTAGTTTTCAAATTGTAGACACTTATTTTTTTTAAAAAAGTTTATTCCTAAGTGGTTTATATTTTGCTGTTGTTATAGAATTGTTTTCTTAATTTCATTTTTGCATGTTCATTGTCATTGTATAGAAATACAATTGACTTTTTATATGTTTATCTGGTATCCTGCAATAGTGGTGAATTTATTTATTCCAATAGTTTTTTTAGTGGATTCCTTAGAGTTTTTTTTTATTTATGGGATCATGTCATCTGTGACTAGAAATAGGCTTACTTCCTTCTTTCCAATCTGGATGCCTTTTAATTTGTTTTCTTGCCTGATTGTTTCTACTAGAAATGGAGAAATAATTTATTTTTATTTTCACCTACCTCTAGCTGAAATGTCAATTACCTTTGATTGTGAATGTAGACAACAATCCACAGTCACATTAGTGGTACCCGTGACTCTCTCACCAATGTAAATCACAGACATTGTCATATTTCACTACTATTGTTACAGCTGTCTCAAAATATTTTTGTACTTTAGATTATTGTCATCATAATTAGATCTTACCATTAGATCTTATAATTTAATGCATTATTACAAGTACAATTAATACAGAGGTAGAATATCACATATTTTTATATTTTGATAACTATAGCTAATATAATTGGTTTTTCATTGTTATTCTTTGCATTTTATTTTATACATATAAAGAAAAGTATTTAAAGGTGACCAGGGGATAAAAAAGTTCCAGAGAAGATGATAGGATCAGGAAGTCCTGGATACCACTGAGGCTGCAGCTCTTTAAGGTTGTGCATAAGGGCGGGCACATTCTCTTCCATCCTTAGGACCCTCTGCCTAAAATCCTAGCTCCTGTGTTACAGATGGAGAAAAGGAAGCATCCATTGTTTCAACTAGCGAGTGTTTTAGTCTTTGTAAAACCTACTAATAAACTTCTATGCTATTGTCCTACCAGGTACCTTCTCAAACCAGATTTCATGAGGCGGCCTGATCGAACATTTGACCCCTTCTCTGAAACTCCTGTTGATGGTGTTATTGCAGCCACTTGCTCAGTGCAGGTAAGGCCCCTGCTCATCACAAGGTAGTATAAATGTATACACAAGTGGTCCTTGAAAGAAATTATAAAATATTGAATGTTAAATTGCAAGATCCATGTGCTGCTCACAACTTTGACTTAAGATTCCACCCCCTTTTTAAAAAATGAGACCCATTTTTTCACTAGTAAAATTATTAGCTACTTAAAGTGAAAGATACCATCAAAAAAGTACCTGCTACTTGATTCCATTTATACAAAATTCTAGAAAATGCAAATTATAGTGACAGACAGTAAATCAGTGATGGCCTTTGAAAAAAGGGCAGGGAGGAATGGGTTACAAAAGGGCACAAAGAAACTTCAGGTGATGATACAAATGTTTATCATCTTAATTATGGAGGTGGTTTCGCAGATGTGCTCATATGTCCCAACTGATCTAATTTTACATTTTTTTTTTGTTTTTTATTTTTTGACACTGAGTATCACTCTGTCGCCCAGGCAGGAGTGCAGTGGCACAATCTCGGCTCACTGCAACCTCCTCCTCCCGGTTTCAAGTGATTCTCCTGCACCTGTAGCTGGGATTACAGGTGCCCACCGCCACACCTGGCTAATTTTTATATTTTTAGTAGAGATGGGTTTTTACCATGTTGGCCAGGCTGTTCTCAAACTCCTAACCTCAGGTGATCTACCTGCCTCAGCCTCCCAAAGTACTGGCATTACAGGGATGAGCCACCGTGCCTAGCCTAATTGTACATTTTAAATGCATATAATTTATTGTATGTCAAATATACCTCAAAAAAGCTGTTTCAGATTGTTAGCTAGAAAATAATGTAAACAAAAAACCCTAATAAGTGGCTATAGTCATTTAAACACTAAATGAAAAATCATCTCTCCATAGCTTTATCGTAGATAGACTAACATTATAAAACTGTCCTAGCTGACCAGTGTCAATATCAGTAATGACAGACAAATTCTAGCTTCACTTTTCTGTGTGTCTCTTTTCAAGACTTCTAAAAGAATTCATTAATAAGTATGGCATGATGGAATTTCAGAGCTATGAAGGGTCTTAGGACATACCTGAATTCATCACTTCATTTCATAGGTGTAGACACTTAGGTGAGATGAAGAGGCCGTGGACACTATTTGTATTATGATTCATATATATTTTTTCTTTGTTTTTTTTCTAGACAGTTCTAGAAGGTAGAACATCTGCTTGAAACAGCTGGGGTTTTTTTGCCTATAGTAGTTGTTCGATAATGTTTTGGTTTGATAGAAATGAATACATTATTGCCATAGATAATTGAAATTCCTGCTCCCACCCAAAAGACAGAATTTCTTACTTCCTGATTATTTTTTGCTACTGATGCTTACACAGAGCTTACTTCTCTTTGCTCTCGTTCGTGCTGCTACAGGTTATATCAGGTCAATTCTTATCAGATAAGAAAATTGGCACCTACGTAGAGGTGGATATGTATGGGTTGCCCACTGACACCATACGTAAGGAATTCCGAACTCGCATGGTTATGAATAATGGACTCAATCCAGTTTACAATGAAGAGTCATTTGTATTTCGGAAGGTAGGACATTTTCAGCACGTCAAACTTACTCTAATAACTTGGGAGCCATGTTTTAGTTCACAGACGCTACACGATACAGGGGCACTTATTCAACCGACAACATCTTCTTTTTCTCTTCTCCTAATGGCTAACTTCTGTAGCTGTCATAGGATCATTGGTTCTATTTGGCCCTGCCTCCTTTTGGTTCTCCTCTCCTCCTTGGAAGAGCCCATCTCCTGCACAGCAGTGCCTCAGCTCTGGGTTTACCATCTTTTAGAATGAGTCCTTGCTGGTGGACACCATCGTACACTAGAGAGTTCTTCCCTACCCTGGAAGTTACTGGTAACTTACACTATTCCTTTAGCCAAGTAGTCAGGTAAGATGCTGCACTCCAAAATTTTGGTCAATAGATGTCACTACATGGGTCAGTTGGCATGGTCCTGTCTCTCCTGAAAGAGTGACACCTGTTGCCTACTTGCAGGTCTTATCCTTCTTGTACTGTTGTTAGTGTTTTATTTTTTTCTCCTAATACCGTATGTTGGATCCTAAAAACAATCACAGCCATTCTCTCTAACGTTCGGTTGTTAATCTCTTATTCACCTTTTCCCTTGGTTTATTTTTTGTCTATTGAAGATGCAGTGGAAAATCCGCACACCGGCAGTGCTGTCTCCAAGAATGTTCACTTTCCTTTCTTACTTACTCTGTTGTCCTGACCACAATGATTTCTTGCTGCTTCTTTAGGCACAAGTTTTCCAGCTGGTTCTGCTCCATTTGTACATCATGCAACACAGATAATCAGCTTCTTTCCTTAACAAAATAGGGATTATCCATTTCAGAATAGAGTAACTGGCTTACAGAAACCAAATGAAGGGAGATCAATGTAGGTTTGATGAAACAGGCCATTTTGACATTTAAGTTTACGCTGGGATCCACACAATCTTCGCATCCCATTGTCTTCTTCTCTGCCCCTGTCAGGATATGGTGTAAATTACATGCATAGCTGTGATTTGGTTTTTTCCTTCCCTGGTATTTCCAATTTGTTATAGCTGGATCCGTTACCAGTATGGCTAGTGTTCTTTGGCATAGTGAATAATCCCTACTCACATTTCTAGAAGCTGAGAAAGTTGACTCAGGCATTCTTTGTTTTGGATGAATGAGAAAATACCCAGCTTAGTGTTTATATATAATAGTTCTGGCACTAGAAACGAGATGCCAATTCTGAGTCCTTCTCTGTTCTTCAGAAGTTAAATCGTTTTTTTCATTGCTAGCAAGTGCTTTAAAAACTTTGTTTTCTTTCTTGTCATTTTTGTATTTTTCACTAATCTCACATGGCAAGAATGGCAAATCCCAAGCCTCTATTCACTGCATAAGGAGCAAGAGAGAGGGAAATTGGCTAAGTTACCATGGTTTCTCCTCTTCATCTTCATTAAGCTGGAATTAAATTATAGCCTTCAGATGTAAATAGGCAACCAGTCCATTGTCTAGCTTTAAACATAGCACTCAGATCAAGCAAGATGTCCTGGTTGCTTTTAGCCAATAAAAAGGCATTCCTGATTAAACACATTGGATACCCTTTTTGTAATGTTGCTATTTTGTAACTGAATCAGGTTTCTGCTATCTGAACTCAGATTTTATGTTCATTTATTCCGTTTGGGGATAGCAGGAGTAGGTGTCTTAGAATCAAAGTATGTTAATGTTTCTAGCTACCGCATCTTACTCTATTTAACATCCCAACATTTGCTGGAAACTGAGGAGTACAAGAAACAAGGAGGACCCAAATTTATGTACAAAAGTTATCTCTTATGCATGAAGCATTTATTCAGAGATACTTAATTTATTTATTCAGAGATACTTTATTTATTCAGAGATACTTTCGTATTCTTAAAAACAAACAAATATAGATGTCAGCAATATGCCAGATATTAGATCACAGGATTAGATCCCCAATTCCCAGGCCCCACTCTGTCACTGATATGTCTAAGATCAAGGAAAGTGGCTTTATTTCTCATCCATTATATGGGTGGGGACAAGGATCAATCACAAGGGTTGAAGTGGTAATCTTTAACATTCATTTCATCTAACATTTTTCACGAGATAATTTCCAGGAAACATGTTCCAATTGCTTTTCTCAGTGTCTTGGGCACTGTAGCTCATGCAGTACATTTTGGGGAATGCAGATGGATCATGGACTTACTTTCAACATCAGGGAACATTTAAGAACAGCATGGATTTGGTCCACACTCCTTAGAGTCATGGTTCTTGGGCGCTGCATTGGAAAAATCAGTGAAAGTCCTGTTCTGTTTGCAGGTGATCCTGCCGGACCTGGCTGTCTTGAGAATAGCTGTGTATGATGATAACAACAAGCTGATTGGCCAGAGGATCCTCCCGCTTGATGGCCTCCAAGCCGGATATCGACACATTTCCCTTCGAAATGAGGGAAATAAACCATTATCACTACCAACAATTTTCTGCAATATTGTTCTTAAAACATATGTGCCTGATGGATTTGGAGGTAAGATAAACATTTGGGTACGGAATATGATATAGATGAGGTCCTAGATTATAAGATTATAAAACATCTTGTCCATGCTTTAAAAAACAATAAAAATACTGTCTATTCCTGCTAATGCTGCCAACCCTGATTACCTTGAATACATCAAGAATACATCATAACCTCAGGTTTCATAGTAAGAAATGAAAGTACAAAACGAGATGATCTCTAAAGTCCTTTCTTATTTTAAAATACTATAATTTTATGTTGTTTATCAATTTTTACAAACACATTTTGTGAAGGGTATATTTATATTGACAATCAGACTAGGGAAAAAAACATAAATAAGGTGAAACCATAGATATCTTATCAATAGTATCGCTAAAAGATTTAAATTGAACTCAGCTATCAACATGCCTGAATTTTCTTCCAAATCCACAAGAAAGTTCAATTTCATAAAAAATCCTAGTCATCAATCCATATGCTTTAAGGTAATCAATGGGAGGAATCCAAAGCTAGATTAAGTCATAGAATTTTGCTTACATGCAAACATGTTAACTTTTTATGGCCTCCATCTAAGCCAATACATTAAAAGAAAGCAAAGATCCTCTATATTGTCAGCCTGTTGAACCATAAGGAAATAGTACAGCAGGATGATGGCATCCGATTAGCCAAGGGTTCAAATCCTTACTCTCCACTGCTGGCAGGGTGATCTTGGGAAGAGGATGTAACCTCTCAAACCCCTCATTTCCTCCCCTGCAAAGTGAAGATAATAATAACTACCTCCCTCATAGCATTATTGTGAGGTGCTTATCATTAGAGTACATGATATAGCAAGGCTCAGAAATGTATGAGCGCATGGGGGTGGGCGGGGTGTCTGTAGACACAGATATAATTTCTATACTTCACTGGAACACATCACTATTTTATCTGGGGAATATGGGATAATTTTGCTGTTTGTTTTTAGTAGTGCATGCTTCTGTGGAGGGCAGATTTTCTGCAACTAAACCACAACTTTACCAGTCTAATATCAGAGTCAAAAATTAAAATAAGCCATGAGGATTTTTCCATCCCAAAATTCATAGTCCAGGCTCCTTCCTCCTTCTCCTTTGTCTTTCATAAAAAAAAAAAAGGAAGCACATTAGAAGCTACAACATACAGTAATAGAGGTAACAACCCATAAAAAGCCTGGAAAGGGATGCTGTGAGGCTGGGTAAGAGGATCAGAAAGGGGCACTGGAGACAAGTGGTAGGTTTAGGAGCAGCAGTCCGTGGCAAACCTCAGAAACCTCCCTGCAACACAGCATGGTGGTGGCCATGGGGCATCAGCTGATGAGTTAAATCATACTCCACATACGTGAGCTTAGAAAGCAGGAACTGTGGAATACCTCATACATTTTAGAAATAGTTGTATAAACCCATATGATGGAAGATTTAGAAGTTTTGCCTCTGCATGGGTTAACTTCCCACTGAAACTCTAATTCATTCTTGGGAACTAAGCCACTCGAATAGAAAAGGGAAAGAAATCATTTGTTTAGCTTCTACTTTATGCCAAGAGCTTTATGTAAAGAGATCCAAAAGCATGAAGTTGTTCAGAATGGATGTAAGCATAGGGAGATCTGTGCTGCAGAAACATCTGTATTTACAATGTAGCTTATTACCCATGTTGTATTTAAGTATTTAGCCAAATTAATCTCTTTAATATTAGTCCTGCCAGTATTCTTTCCTAACATGTCATTGTGGCTGCTTACTTTTTATCAGAAGCGTTTGAAATTTCTATGTACCATTGATGAGATTCTGCAGTCGATGCCTTAACCAGAGTTGACATTCAAATACAATTTATTCAAAATTCTCTGGTCATTTATTTTATATGTGAAGAAACCAGGGACAGACATTATGCGGTGTCAGGGACTTCCCTGTAGATAACAGAAGAAGAATATGAGAACTGTCTTTTTCCAAATCTCTGATCTTCTTTATAGCTTCTTGACTTATTCAAAATATACTTATATTTTCCCTGTTTAGCCAACCTCCCACATTCATATCTCAGTGTGTTTATGTGCTGAACCAGTGAGATAGGAAATCTATAGAGTCTGTGTTCCCTGGAGTATTGATATTCCCTCTTCATTCCACAGGAACAAGTTCAAGATGAAGCTCAGCACCATCACACTCAGCATTTTCTAGAAAAAAAAATGTTTTTTTTCCCCTAGGAAAAAAAAGAAACTCATCAATATACATCATTAGATTTATATTTAGCTAAAGAAAGATAGTGTGGATTTTCATTACTTTTTTCCACAAATATGCATAGCAGGTTTATTCTATAAAAAGTTAAGTAGCTAAAATATGTATCAGAGAGCAATTCTGAGAACACAGAGGATCAAATGAGGGTCACTCACAAATCTGCTGCCCAGAGACAGCTATTGTTTACTTCCAGTCTCTTTTTTTCCTGTTTGTTTATTTATTTATTTGAGACGGAGTTTTGCTCTTGTCACCCAGGCTGGAGTGCAGTGACACAATCTCGGCTCACTGCAACCTCCATCTCCCATGTTCAGGCGATTCTCCTGTCTCAGCCTCCCGATAGCTAGAACTACAGGCGTGCACCACTATGCCCAGCTAATTTTGTGTTTTTAGTAGAGACGGGGTTTCACCATGTTGGCCAGGCTGATCTTGAACTTCTGACCTCAGGTGATCCACTTGCCTTGGCCTCCCAAAGTGCTGGGATTACAGACGTGAGCCACTGTGCCTGGCCTTTTCTGTTTTATTTTTAATAAAATTAAATCTTACTATACTGCTAATTTGGAATTCTAATTTTTTTTTAGAATATGTTTCCATGTCATGAAATATTTTTATATTTTTATTAGCTGTATAGGATTACATTTTATGTCGGCCATAATTTAGTTATGGATAAACACTGAAGTTTTCTTCCTTGGCCGCTGAGGAAACAGAGTTAGGAATTTGAGTGCAACTCCTTCTGCTTCTCCTTCTCATTTCTATAGCATAAAAACTCTCAAAACTGGCCAGGCGCGGTGGCTCATGCCTGTAATCCCAGCACTTTGGGAGGCCGAGGCGCGTGGATCACATGAGGCCAAGAATTCAAGACCAGCCTGGCCAACATGGCAAAACACTGTCTCTACTAAAAATGCAAAAATTAGCCTGCCATGGTAGCACACGCCTGTAATCCCAGCTACTCTGCAGGCTGAGGCACAAGAATTGATTGTACCTGGGAGGCAGAGGTTGAAGTGAGCCGAGTTCATGCCACCGCACTCCAGCCTGGTTGACAGAGCAAGACTCTGTCTCCAAAAACAACAACAACAACAAAATAACTCCCAAAAGACACAAAGAAATAACAGAGCAGTGATGGCTACCATGAGTTCTGAACCCTTCCTGGCTGTTTCTAAGCAGCCCAGATGCAAAATGTCCAACAATACAGTCTCCTATCAGAAAAAAAAAAAAAGTAACATTTAGGACAGATGATTAGGAATGAATCATGAAAACTTGGCTTAATTTTTTCAATATTATTTTGCTACAAAACGTAAAGAAAAACAACCCTGTCTTTTACTCCCTCTGTCATACACAAATAGAAGTACTAGATTGGGTGCTAGGAGCATTCTTCCTTTGTCAAATCCAATGAGACTCCGAGTGCTGGGATTATCTTTGCTGCTTTATCTGTGGGTGCCAACGCCACCGTAGATGGCATTTGCCCATTGCAAGGCTTTATCAGTGTTAGACACTGCTGTAGGAGACAGGAAGCAGTTCCAGGGCTAATGGCAATGAAACGAGGGTCAGTATTTCTTTTTCACCCACTGTTGCTTTGGGTGGGTTTTATCACTTGTGTTTATTTTATTATTACTGAGTGATAGGGAGGGGAGCAAATAAGAGAGTTGATGCTTTGCTTCCGAAATCTATGGAGCCTCAGCATTGTATTGAAATGTCACTCCCCGCTGTGTTTCATGAGCCTCCCAGCGCTTTGTTCCTCGGGCAGTGCTGATCATTACTTCTGCAACCATAAATTTTGCCTCCTCTTCTACAACTATTTTATGTCAGGGAAGATGAAGTGACCCTCTATTTCTTTGTACATTTCCCCTTTCCACCTTCCCTATGATTAAAAATACATCTTGGGTCTCTGCCCAGGGTTTTCATAGGGTTGCTTTCCAACCATTTTTACAAAGATAGTTGACTGTTTCTTATATCAGATATTTCCAGAGAAAGAATGTTCTTAATTAAGATGCCATTCCTGGGAAATAATCTCAGGACTTCCTGATGCAGTTTAAACTTGTTCCATCTGTCCTCTTCCTTAAGGGTGCTAAAATGTCATATTTTATTAAATATTTGTTGAAAAACCCAGTTGCATATTCACAGTGATATCTTTCTTGTGGCCTTTTCTGTACTACAGAAAATATTAGTCAGACTTCAAGAAGAAAAGCTCTGGAGGGGAAGGGGGCAGGATGGATTATGGTAAAATACTTTGGAAATTGCTAGACTAAGCAAATTTAAACAGGCTTATCTATTGCATGGCTCCTGGGATGTATGGTGAATGCCCAAGGGGAGGGGGAGAACATGAGCATTTCCCAATCTTATTTGACACAGGATCTTGTTGCCCAAGCACCTACTGTATTTTCTACCATTCTAGGAAATGCAGTTTGAGAAATGCTTAATCTTTTGGTAGGAACCCAAAGGACTAAGACAAAATCATAGACTTGGGATTTGCCTTTCTTTATCAGCACCACATTGCAGCTGATAGGGGAAAAGGATTTTTCTTCTGCCTGTACCTCTTGGTAAGTTAGGAATAGTAGAGGGGAACGGGAGGGAACCTGGGCCAGGAGTGAGCACATAGGGGTGGGGAGGGGGAGTGTAGGTGCCATGGGCAGTGCTCACCACTGAGGCACTCAATGATTTGAAAAGCATTGGTTAAACAAACGAAAATCAACTGAGTTCTCCTGAAAAGCCAATAAGCATCTGGAAGTCTGTACTAAGGAATTGCTATCTTCATTTCCATTCTTAGAGACACCTACATTGATGCTTTCAACTCTATATGAAAGTCAGGAAGCATGGCAGGGAGGAAGGGAGGGGAAAAGCAGGGCCTACATGGAGAGTCTTTACTAGGAGAGACCAGCTTCATGGAAATGACATTATGCCCAGAAATAGATGGTGTTTTTAAAAATACACATAAGTAGAGCTTTAAGTTAAATCTTAATGAAAGAACCAAATCAGAAAAAGCAGACTGGTTTCTTTTAAAAAGAGAGGTTCCGGAGCCCCTGCTGTGGCCTCCAAGAATCTAGGGTGTTTTAGGCCACCTACATGGGTTCTGCAGAGTCAGGAGTTTGCATGCATCCATCTCTACCCTGTTAGATGTACAATGTGGCTCCCCCCAGCAAGGCCTACTCACCTGCCAGTGGATGCCGATCAGCACTGGAAATGAATTCTTGCCACAGTGATTTATCCTGTGGAACCCTAAACTAAATGGGAAATAGGCAGCCACAGTATTCCCCAATAAAAGGAAGGAAGCCCAGTGAAATGTCATATTGGCACCAAAGAAAGATACTGGGTTTACTTGAATATGCAAAACTTTGGCCAAGAATATACCAGATTTATTTAACCACTTCCTCAAGTTATTTTTCTGGGCTGAGGCAAGGAAAAAATAAATACCATTTTTCAAGTACAGTTACACAAGTAGGTAAGTATGAGATATTTGAGGTAGAGCTTTTCATTCTCTGATTACAGATTATTTTAAATGTGGCTATTAAAAATCAATTTCCTTTTTTGATATGCAGCACTCTTCGTATCTACCTATCCATATGTCTCACATATATATGCCTCTGGCCAGTGGAGAAACTGAATTACAATGAAAAATTATCTTAAAGATGCCAAGGCAGGCCTTGGCTCCCTAATGCTGAGCCCTTTGCACTTTGGCAGAGAATTTTTGTCAGAACTGTCCCAGGTATTCAAATGCCATTCTTCTGCATTGTTCTATAACTCCAGCTACAGAATGAACACCTGCCACCACATGACCCAATTAGACATCCTAGAAAGGGGTATCCAATCTTTTGGCTTCCTTGGGCCACATTGGAAGAATAAGAATTGTCTTGAGCCACAAATAAAATATACTAACACTAACGATAGCTGATGAGCTATAAAAATAAATAAATAAATAAATAAAATTTAAAAAATAAAAATAAAAAAAGTTTGTGCATAATTCTCATGTTTTAGGAAAGTTTACAAATTCGTGTTGGGCCACATTCAAAGCCATCCTGGGCCACATGTGGCCTGTGGGCCATGGGTTGGGCATGCTTATCCTAGAAGTATCTAGTTTGTTATATGAAATTGCTAGGAATGAAGCATCCATTTCAAATAGCCTGCTAACTTTAGCCTTGCTCAAGGCATTTAGTCCTTTTGTAATCTCTTTTTTGTCTTATCTGATTTAATTTGAACAAACCTTACTTTACACTTTTCATATTTTTGTTGCATTTTGTTCAAGAACATTATATTGCATTATTATTGTATATTGTAATTTCTTAAAGGTAAAGGCAGCCTCTAACTGCAAATAAAACATCTCAAATAAGACGTTTCAAAAAATAAGACCAAATAAGGCAGCATGTTAGGATCTGGCATCATATGTCCCTAATAGTGTCTAGATTTGTTAATATTGGTAATTCAAGATAGAGTTAAGTAATGATATTTATCCAGCTAATGGATAAATCTTCAGCAGGCTCCGATTTTGTTGTATCATTTAGGTGACATCTACATAATCCGATAGCAGATGGCTGATGAGAGCATCTCAGATAGCTTGCCTGTGACAAACAAGACAATATGTGGATTCAGCTAGGTCAGGATTGTGTAGAATCAGCCCTAGAAGCTGAGACCAAGACATTGCTGCATAAACAGGAG
Source organism: Homo sapiens (assembly GCF_000001405.40). NCBI lineage: Eukaryota > Metazoa > Chordata > Mammalia > Primates > Hominidae > Homo > Homo sapiens. The sequence goes on from NC_000020.11 coordinate 9,430,813, forward strand.
GAAAACCACTGGTATTCTAGCAGGAGGTCTCCAGGGGCTGCTGGACCCTCCATAGTCTTAATGATAAAGCCTGCCTTGTACACTTAAGCACATGACTTTTTATGGAAGATGCATACCCAAGAATTTAAGTAGTGAATTTTTTTCCCCTCAATTACTGTTGGCAATCGAATGTACAGTTGTCTTGTTCTCCCTCTGCCCTAGTTTCCTAGAACTACTGTAACAAATAACCACAGACTGGGTGGTTTAAAACAGCAGAGATTTATGGAGGCTAGAAGCCTGAGACTAAGTGGTGGGCAGGGCCATGCCCTCTCTGAAGGCTCTCGGGAAGAATCCTTCCTTGCCTCTTTCTGGCTTCTGGTGGCTTCAGACAGTCCTTGGCATTCCTTGGCTTGAAGATGCACCACTCCAGTCTCTGCCTCTGTTGTCACATGGCCTTCTTCCCTGTGACTCCATGTTCTCTCCCTTCTTATAGCGACACTAGTGATTGGATTTAGGGCCCACCCTGATCTAGTAGGATCTCATTTCAGTCCTCTTCTAAAACCTAAGCAAAGACCCTGTTTATAAATAACATCACGTTCTGAAGTTCTAGGTAGACAGGAGTTTTGGTGGACACTATTCAACCTACTCCACCCTCTTAATTCTGCTTTTAATTTTTATTTTTTATTCTTTATGAGACAGAGTCTTGCTCTGTCGCCCAGGCTGCAGTGCAGTGGCATGATCTCAGCTTACTGCAACCTCCACTTGCCAGGTTCAAGCAATTCTCCTGCCTCAGCCTCCCGAGTAGCTGGGATTACAGGTGTGCACCACCACACGGGGCCAATTTGTGTGTGTGTGTGTTTGTGTGTGTGTGTGTGTGTGTGTGTGTGTGTGTATTTTTAGTAAAGATAGGATTTCACCATGTTGACCAGGCTGATCTTAAATTCTTGACCTCAAATGATCCACCCACCTCAGCCTCCCAAAGTACTGGGATTACAGGCATGAGCCACCGTGACCGGCCTCCGCTTTATTTTCTTAGTACTCCTTCCATTCATCATTCTTCAATAACTATTTTAAAGCTTATTAAGAATAAATTTTGTTAGGAATGCCTATCAGGCATATGAGTTATATAAAGTGCTATATTATTTAACTAAACCATTAACTTTCTGATAAAATGACAAAGAAATCATTTTTTGCACTAAGATATTCCTAAATTCATCTTTTTATAGAAAAGTTGAAAGCCCATCTAAGTATCTACCAGTGGGGAATAGTTTGATATAGAAAATCAATGTGACATTTCCCATTTACTAAAAATAATTTTCAGAACTATGCCGATATAATATATGCATCAATGAAAATGCAGGTTATATAACTTCTAATAAACCATGGAAAATATGTATTCATGTGCAAAAATGACACAAAAATATACAAAAATGCTTGGTTAGGATAGATGGATCATTTAATATCTTGCTTTATTGATTCTTTAATGTCTTGCTTTATTGATTCTGTAACTTGTTTTAAGTAATTAAAGTATTATCTGTTATTCCTATGGAAAAGACTACCAGTTACTCCTCAAAAATGCCATATACTCTCTTCAGGCCCCCAGACTGATTATATGTTATTAAAAATTAGCGAGTATTTGTTTCCTAACCACCCAGTCCTGTGTGTTATCACTGAAATGTGCCATTGGGATTGGATGCTTGGCAAAACATATCTGAAGTGAGAATGTACAGAGAAGCATAGACCAAGTATATCTCCTCCAAAGAAGGGCAGAAAAGTTTAATGGATACAAGTTAAACCTCACTCTGCCTCATAATGGTGTGGACAAGTGGCAAGAAGAGGCATTTGGGAGTCAGGCACAAAGAGTTGTGCTAAAAGTCTAGGTTGGTCAAATTGTGTCTTCATGTGCTGAAGGACCTTAATCATGCCCACTTCATGGCATCCTGATGACGATGAGAAAGCCATGTGGTTCTCCTAACACAGCATCACCTCATGGTTGACCAGTGACCACAGGGCAGAAGGATGCTGAGTAGAAAGACATGAATTGGCATCAGAGGAGTCTTCTGAACATTGCATTTCCTCTCTAAGCAATGGAGGTAGACCCTGTGTCTCCTCCAGACACTACTGACTGAAGAGAGATGTCAGCACCATCAGCACCACTAAAAGTAATGTTGGGAGCCAAAGTATTGCCATGAGAATCACCGAATTGTTGTGAAGAGAGATAGCAGCAGTATGAATGCAGAGATCGAGTTGCCACCTCCTGCAAGCACCTCTAAAAGTAATGTTGGGAGCCAAAGTATTGCCATGAGAATCACCGAATTGCTGTGAAGAGAGATAGCAGCAGTATGAATGCAGAGATGGAGTTGCCACCTCCTGCAAGCTGCCACCTCCTGAGCCTACTTGAGGAACTTAGCGTCACAAATGGGACAACCAGCCTTTATGTCCCTCAATGTGATGCATATAAAGTCACAGCACCTCCTAGAAGTATCCTTAAAGAAAGATGTCAAGAGGGATTGCTTTAGACTAAAATTGACTTAAGAGACATAATTATCAGAGACATAGTGTGAAATCTGGTACCTTGATTCAAGCAATGTAACTATAAATAGGGGAAATATTAAGATGGGCTGTGTATTATATCATAGTAAAGAATTACGCCAATTTTGTTGGATATAGCATTGGGATGGTTGGCTCCAAATTAAATTTAGAGCTGCAGAGACAAGTTATTAGGAATTAAATGTTCTGATATATGGAATTCACCTTAAAATATTTCAATAGAGAGGAAAGAGAAAAAATGAAAGGAATATAAAGGAAATGTGGCAAACAAATGTTTATAATTGTTGGGTTATCATCATAAATATATGAGGGGTTATTGTACTGTTCTCTCCACTTTTGTGTATACTTGAAATGTTTTGTAACAAAGAGTTTAAAATATATAAATAAATTCCTAGAATATTAACTTGCCAAAAATAATTGTCTGTGATTTTTTTTTCCTGAGCAAGATTTAAGAACTAATTTTTCCACAGCTGTTGTTGAGAGGCAAAGAGTTCTTAGGGATCATGGGTGATAAAAACAGACCTTCTCACATGCCACTGGTGGGAGAATAAATTGATGCAATTTCGGTGGAGTGCAATTTGGCAATAACTACCATAGGACAAATACTCTTACCCATCATTCTAACTTCTAAGAATCTATTCTGTAAATATATGTAGAGGTATGCTACGAAATGTTCAAAGACATTCACTACAATACTTTAATAGCAAAGAACTGGAAGGACAAGCTGTCTACCAATAGGAACTGGTTAAAGAAATTATCACCATTCAGAGAATGGAAAGTTTAAGCAACCCTTATAATTAATGTATTAGAGCTATATTGCCAATATGAGAATGTTTCCCAAGATATTTGACATTAAAAAATGGTGCAGAAAACTATGAACCCATTTGGAGTTTTAAAAAATATCAGAAAGGATACAAGAAATGGATAATAATAGTTACCTTCTGGGCGTAGGATTGGCAGGAGAGAAAGTTTTCACTTTTCATTTTATATATTTGAATGTTTACCATGTGCAGATGTTATTTTATTTTATTTGTTTATTATTATTTTTTTCTGAGACGGAGTCTCACTCTGTCACCCAGCCTGGAGTACATTGGCACGATCTCTGCTCACTGCAACCTCCGCCTCCTGGGTTCAAGTGACTCTCCTGCCTCAGCTTCTCAAGTAGCTGAGATTACAGGCATGCGCCACCAAGCCCAGCTAATTTTTGTATTTTTAGTAAAGACGGGGTTTCACCATGTTGCCTAGGCTGGTCTTGAACTCGTGACCTCAGGTGATCCACCCTTCTCGTGTTCCCAAAGTACTGGGATTACCGGCGTGAGCTACTGCGTCCGGCCAACCATGTGCAAATGTTATTTTCTGTTATAAAAAGGAAAAGAAAAAAAAATTGAAACCTAGAGAATTATGTGCCCCGTGTACTGAGAATGTTATCTTAAGAATTATCCTAAGATTGTAATTAGGAAGGCGATTCTGTTAGGGAAAACTTTATAAACTTACACAGTATTTAAAATGTATAAATTATGGATGGTTTCAAGTTAACAAGAATAATTTTGCCTTCTATAGTATGAGTAAATTGTGCACGATTATATGAAACTCTGAAAGTACTTGGAAATCTTCAAATGGCATTAATATAAAATATTAAATTCTACTATCTTTTAAGTTCAAGTTATACCTGAGAAAACACTAGAGAAAGATTTCATTTTGTCTACCATGGAACCAAAATTGGCTTTGAATATGTATTATCCTTCTGTATCGAAAAATAAGACCTACCTGCCTCAGGTACTTTTTGTGTTCATCATCTCATTGAATTATCATGATTATTCTGCAGGGCAGGTGGTATCCACCCTAATTTCCAGATAAAGAAACTGAGGCTGGGGACATTAATCAACTTGCTGAAAGTCACACACAAGTGAAGAAACAGTCTAGAACCCACACACTTCACTCAGTTTGTCCTGACACTTTGCCTCCTTCATATCAGGAAAAACTTTGTATCAGGAAAAACTAAATAAAAAAATCATCTGGTCTTTGGCCCTTGCTTTTAACTCCTTTCTTGTTTTCTGCAACTAGCTGTGCCTTCCTCAGTGTGTCTTATGTCCTAGGAAAAGATTATTAACAGAAAGCACAACAGGTATCCAGGATTGTAGTTTATTAAGCAGAGTTTTAATGAATATTTTCAGTAAAACAGAGAATTAACGGCTCATTGGGTTTTTTTTTCCCCTAGATATCGTGGATGCTTTATCAGATCCAAAGAAATTTCTCTCAATTACAGAAAAGAGAGCAGACCAAATGAGAGCTATGGGCATTGAAACTGTAAGTAGAAATGGTTGATTAAAGGTGGCCAAGTTGTGGGAGTTTGATTATCAAACAGTGTTTACAAAAACAAGACAAAGTAATGAATTAGCAAATTTAAGGAGGGTTTTTAAAACTGAGCTCATCAATTCAACAATAGTTAACTTTCTACAAAAGTGTGGCATGTTTAATAAAATGTGACTGCCATCAGAAAAATCCACTTCATCATCAGTGGCTTAACTCACATCTGGGGACCCCTTCCCCATTAGAAAGAAAATGCAAAACATTTGTTATACTTTTGGGAAAGTTTAAAATGTAGGTGGAGCATTTCTAATCAGAAAAATGCAACATCCGAAAAGTTCCAAAATTCAAAACCTTTTGAGTGCTGACATTGGATAGTCATACCTTTGCTTTTTGAAGTTTCACTGTACATAAACTTTCTTTCATGAACAAAATTACTAAAAATATTGTATAAAATTACCTTCAGGCTGTGTATAAGTTGTATATAAAACATAAATGAATTTTCTGTTTAGACTTGGGTCCCATCCCCAGGATACCTCATTATGTATATGTAAATGTTCCAAAATCTGATATCCAAAACATTTCTGGTCTCAAGCATTTCAGATAAGGGATATTCAAACTGTACTGTACAGGATGTTTCTATGATACACTGAAATACCAGTTAACCTAGTTCAGTGAATTAATGATAATTGCTTTTTATTTTTAATTATTTATTTTTTAACAGATAGGATCTCGCTCTGTTTCCCAGGCTGGAGTGCAGTAGTGTGATCATAGCTGACTATAAACTTAAACTTCTGGGCTCAAGCCATCCTTCCACCTCAGCCTCCTCAGCAGTTGGGACTACAGATGCATGCCACTGTGCCTGGCTAATTTTTTTACTTTTTTTGTCAAGACAGGGTCTCACTCTGTTGCCTAGGTTGGTGTCAAACTCTTGGCCTCAAGCAATCCTCCCACCTTGACCTGCCAAAGCATTGAAATTACTGGCGTGAGCCACCATGCCCAGCCAAAATGGCGTTTATTATTGATTTTTCACTGTTTGCCAGCCTTACATCCCAACCTTCTCCCATTCCAGTGCACACGTGGATTGTTTCTTTGTTTTTAAATGTTCTCTTTACCAGACTCCTCAGTTTGGAATGGATGTAGCATCTCTCCAATAGCTAGAAAAAGAGAAAGTATTCTCTGCTTGTTAAGAAGTTGGATCTTCTTTCCTTGGCTGGATCCTTTGCCTTTAAGAGAGTAGAAGTCTAGGAAGAGTATGGTAGAAGTTTACTGGATTCAGTAAAATAAAGAATGTACAAGATATTTGACCTTGAGTGACATTCATTTGGGTCAATGTAAATGTTTCTGTTCCAGAGTGACATAGCCGACGTGCCCAGTGACACTTCCAAAAATGACAAGAAAGGAAAGGCCAACACCGCCAAAGCAAATGTGACCCCTCAGAGTAGCTCTGAGCTCAGACCAACCACCACGGCTGCCCTGGCCTCTGGTGTGGAAGCCAAGAAAGGTGAGAGAGAGCCGTTGGGTTCCTTATCTTCTGCACCCACCTTAATTACACAGTGTACAATATCTATAGCTTTAGGAAATATATAAATTCGAAGTTCTTTGTGGGAAAGAACCTTTTACATAGTGATGTTAACTAATTCATCCCCACTCTCTTCCAGACCCTCCCATAGGTAGTTACCTGGACAGGCCGTGGGCTCATGAACCAACATAGTTATTCCTATTGGACATTTCTAAATTCTCATACTGATAATTTTCCCTCATAAGTAGAAACATGATTATTTGTTTGTAAAATTATCAAATGAGCACTTGAAGGCCAATTCCATGTGCTTACCTGTAGATGAAACAAAAGATCATTAAGAGGTGGCATCACAAAGAATCACGTGTCTCATATTCAGCCAGTATGTAGGGAAACAACTGTGCTGGTTATTTTAATTGGTTTCCATATGAATTGGCCAGACATCCATTGATTGGATGGTGCCCATTCCATACTGGAGGGAAAGTGGGCAGGGAGAATGCTGATAGGGAGTGGCAAGGAGTTCATTTTTCTTGTTCTGGAAAGAATTCTGGGGTCATCCTGAGAAGGTCATGGGAAATGAGTCAAAGGAGTATTTGAAGAAAATTATAGTCTTGGCAGAAGAATTCATTGAAAGTGGGCATGCTAAGGGCAAGGTAAGAATTATGATACTCATGCTTCTGTTATAACACACCTATCACATTGTGTTAATAAAGTATTAACAACCAGAGAAAGAGGTCATTGCAGATGAGACCACACCTCATCATCAGTGTGTCCCTGGAACCATGCCTAGTTAAAATCTAGTAGTCTATTTTCTCAGGAAGTAAAGCGCTGTTTAATGAATGATAGGGGCAAGGAAATCTAGATTAAGTTGGAAATTGTCAAAAGGAAGGAAGAATAGAAATAAGTTGGCAGCTTGAGGCCAGGTGCAGTGGCTCATGCCTGTAATCCCAGCACTTTGAGAGGCCGAAGCGGGCAGATCATGAGGTCAGGAGATCGAGACCATCCTGGCTAACATGTTGAAACCCCGTCTCTACTAAAAATACAAAAAATTAGCCAGGCATGGTGGCGAGCCCCTGTAGTCCCAGCTGCTCAGGAGGCTGAGGCAGGAGAATGGCGTGAGCCCGGGAGGCGGAGCTTGCAGTGAGCTGAGATAGCGCCACTGCAGTCCGGCCTGGGTGAAAGAGGGAGACTATATCTTAAAAAAAAAAAAAAAAAAGAAAGAAAGAAATAAGTTGGCAGCTTTGATATGGGCCTTAGGCAGAAAGGGGCTTTTTGGTAACTCAGACTTCAAGGACAGATCCCAGAGATAGATTGTACCATTGAGAGAAGTAGAGGAGTTAGGAGGAGGAGCTGCTTTTGGTAAGGAAGATGATTTTGGTTCTGTATATCACTGAGGACAAGCTGTTGCTGATACATCTGGGCAGAAATATGCAATTACCAAATCTATATCAGGTGGAGAAGAAGAAGGAGGGACAGAGAAACAGAATAAGAATACTTAGAAGGCAGAATGAATGGGGAAAAAAGAGAAAAGAGAGATCTATGTTCTAAGAAGAATTAGTTTTGAGAAGATGCTGTAGACAAGTCCAGAGAAGTGAAGACTACAAAATTATAGTTGAACCAGGGGTGATTGGATGATGAAGGTAGAAACATGGTTAAAAAAATGTGAGACATAATTTAAGACATAAAATGGTTGTTCTGGAGGACAGTAGCATGTTGGTAGGAACTAATAAAGAAAAACAAGGAAAATGCAAAAGAGAGTACATGGTAAAACAAGGCTATAAGGAAGATCTGAATCAACAGAAAGGGTGAAATTCAGCTGGATAAGGAAGGAAGAGATATGTTCTGTCTGAGCTAAGAAGAATGATGAGTGAATAGAAGTTTCAGGATAGACAGGAAGAATTCTTGACAGACGGTGTATCAGTCAGCTTATGCTGCATAACAAATGACCTCAAATTTTAGTAGCTTAAGACAACCACCATTTATTGAGATCATGTTTCATTGGGTTGGTTGGTCTAAGCTGGCTTGGCTAATCTCTGTGTCTTGCTTATGCACCTGTGATCAGCTGATAGGTTGACTGGAAGGTAGATGTGGGATGACCTTATGCACACATCTGTCATTTGGCAAGTTGTTTCACATTATCCTGAAGCCTGAGCAGGCTTGTTCATATGGTACTCCCTGAGTTTAAAGAGCAGCCCTTTTCCAGCCTCTGCTAGTCTCCCATTGGCTACAGCAGGTCACAAAGTGAACCAATATTCAAGGGGTAGAGAAATAGACTCTACCTCTTGATTAGAGGAGAAAGAAATAGTGGTCATTTTTGTAGTATAACACAGATAGATTTTATCTGATCTAAGAAGTTGGTTAGGTGGCTGCTCTCTGCTGAGAAACGTAGAGGTAGAACTGAAAAACAGCAGTATAGAAAAGCTTTGGAGTTGCCCCTGGCTGGAATAGAATGATCCACAGGAAATAAGGAGAAGGTCTGCCACATAGCACACAGGACCCTGGTGAGGGTTGGTGGTGTGTACTAAGTTGATGTAGCTTGATCTCATTACTTCTTCAGCAGTGCCCAGAAACTCAGCAACAACTGTGGACAAAGTACAGCTTAGGGAGTTGCAAGCCTGAAATTATCACAATTTATATGGTCTGGGACCAAAAGTTTGAAGACCATTAAGTTATGACACTGTAACAGTTGGCTATTGATGTGTAACAAGCAATCACAAAAGTCAGTAATTTAAATAAGTAAGCATCTATTATAGCTCATGAGGTTGTCTGGGTGGCTTTTCTGGTTATGGGAGGATTAGTATCAGTGACTCAGCTGATCTTAGCTATGCTTATTCAAATGTTTGGGGTTCAGCTAAAGTGTCATTGGCTGGGACAAGTGGGCTGTCTTCCTTGTGGACTCTCATCTTTCATCAGCTTAGCCTGGGCTTGTTCACATGGTAGTTGCAGTGTTCTAAAATGGAGGTGAAAGTACAGATGCTCCTTGACTTATGACAGAGTTACATCCTCATAAGCTGAACATATCATTAAGTCAAAAATGTGTTTAATATCTAAGCTACCGAACATCATAGCTTAGCTTAGTCTAGCCTATTTTAAATGTGCTCAGAACACCTACATTAGTCTACAGTTGGGCAAAATCATCTAACACAAAGCCTATTTTATAATAAAGTGTTAAATATTTCGTGTAACTTATTAAATGCAGTACAGTGTAGAGTATACAGCTGATTGGGAGCTGAGGCTTGCTGCAGCCCCAGCGCATATCCCTAGCTTAGGAAAAGATCAAAATTCACAATTCAACATATGCTCTCTACTGAATGCATATCACTTTTGCTTCATCACAAAGTTGAACCACTGTAAGTTGAACCATCTGTATGTCAGGTTCCTTGATGAGTCCTAGACTTAGAACTGGCATGGCATCCTTTCCACTACATTCTGTCATCCCAAGCAAGTCACATGGCCCAGCTCAGATTCAAGAGTTGGGGAAACAGATTCCACATATTGATGGGAGAAATTCCAAAGTCACATGTAAGTAGGTGTGGAAACAGGGAGGGGTGGAATTTTTTGGCCATTTTTGCACTCAGTCTGCCACCCTGATCATAATATATAGGTTAATGTTCCAGTGGGGTAGATACTAGAGGAGAGAGACTTTTCTAGGAAAGGAAAAGGTTAAAGGGAACCAGGAACAAGATGAAAGTAAAAAGCTTGCTTGGTAGGTGTGAGGGAGTGAGTGAAGTTGGCAGGATGGAGATTGCAGTCAGAAAGAGGTTACTCTAAGCTACTTGTCTTGGAGGAAGGGCAGTTTCAAGCAGTGTTAACATCCCGTTTACAACTGTCAGTGGGAGGTGAGGTAAAGTAGAGATGAAGATTTCTAGAATGGAAGGCATCATGAAAACAGAAAGAAAAGTCACTCAGCACATTCTTCTCATGCATATTGAATCACTGTGTTGGACGTCTGGGAATGCCTGCATAGGAAAACCACAATTCAGATATGAAGTTCATGGGGCCGGGCAGTGTGTGACCTAAAAGGACACATGTGGAGGTAGTTAGGCTCAGCAGAGCCTGGTGTAAGTGAGAGGTCTGTTCTTTTGTATGATAGTTTTTAGGAGAATGGCATGGAAGTACAAGAGAGAAGTCTATAGGTGTTCTTCCCACGCCTCTCCATGGATTGGGGTGGGGTGGGGAATAAACTCTACTCCAGGAGCCTTTGGGGGAAGTGATGTCATTTGAGAAAGCAAGCCTCCATTTCTTTCCAGAAAACTGTCTTAATTTGAGTCACCCCAAAGACCCTGAGAGAAGGCTTCCAGTGCAAGTAGTTTATTCTGGGAGGCAGTGGACATGGATAGAGATGTGAAGAAGTGACACCAGGGAGGGAAGGCAGCCAGTAATTAGAATGTTTTAAAGCCAGTTGCCAGTAGGCACCTGGAACTTAATGCCCTGGAGAAACTCTGGGGGCTGGTATTGGACATACTTCTCAGAGGTCTCCTCTTAGAGGGATGAGGGAGCTGGGGAATGTATACCCTGACTCCTGTCAGCCTTTTCTTGAGGGTTCCCGTGGAAGGGATAAATTCTCGGCATTCAGACGCTGGCAATTGGAAGTGAACTAGAAGAGCTGATGTAGAGAGGGCATAGTGTGTGGCTGGAGCAGACGGCATTTGCTGCAGACCTCTATGAAGGTGGGGAGGTGTGAAATTCCAAACTGTTTTTCTTAGACATTCAGCCAAACAGCAACAACTGCACCAACACGACTTTTTTTTTTTTTTCTGATTTTAAGAACAAAGGATTAAGAACACCCAGCTCCTAACTTCCAGATTAGCAATTAAGAGAAAACAAGTTATTGTTAAGGAACTATGCTGATATGAACAAAAACTTTATGTAGTGAAACTTCAATTAGCTAAAACCCAAAATGTGCTGCCTAACCTACTTTCATACCAGGGAAGCCTGTAGACCTGCACAGTCCTATATAGTAGCCACTAACCACATGGGGCTACCACTAACCACATAGGGCTATTTGAATTTATTTAACAATTAACTTAAAAGTTAAACCTTGAGTTCCTCATTCACACTAGCCACATTTCAGGTGCTCAAGAGCCACAGATGGCTAGAGGCCGTCAGTTGGACAGACCCACGCATGGAACATTCCCATTATTGTGCAAAGCTCTATGAGGAAGGCTGTTCTTGGCACGCAGATGGAACTGTCCTCTTCTGTAGAGTGTGGTTTTTTTTTTTCTAACTAAATCACTTATGGGAATCAACATTTTTACAAATTGTGTCTTTCCCCCAAAACACAAAACCAGGTAGTTGAGGGAAGTTTATGTTTTTGTAGGTTCCTTTTAATCAAGACTTAGTTGAACCAAGACAAAAAGAAAATAAAAATTGAGAGAGAGAGTGTAAGTTTCATCAGACTGGGTCAAACTCAGAATTTGCTAGATCTCTGGAGGACCTTGCATACTCCCCAAATCCTGTATGTTCATTTTACAGATGAGAGAGCTGAGGCCTAAAGACAGGGAGCTCTTTGTGTGCCAGGAGTCACTCCCTTGCCTTACCCTGCCTCAGTCACTAGAGAGACAGCTTGTGAAAGCCAACTTAGGAGATCAGTAGAGAGCCCCATGGACCCTTTATACCCCGATCATAAAATGTTACAGATCACAAGGCTGATTTCCCTCAGCCAAAACTTTCCTTCTGCGGCCTGACCACCCTATCATTGAATGTGCACATCTTAAAATGAATAAAAGGGAAAAACAAGAGCCTGGGACTTGATGCCTATCTTTCTTGAATATATCATACCTAGCCTTTGGGATTCTAATGGAAATCAATTACAGCACAGAGTACACATTCATTTTGTTTGCCTAAGATGAAAATCTGCAGTCAAACAGAAACTGTTTGAGGATCTGGCTACAACTGTTGTTGCCATGACAACACCTGGCCTAGCATCACTCAGATAGCAGGATGACTTAGTGTATTACCCTAGCTCCTCCTGGTATGCTCCTGTTATACACTGGTTTGATTTTATTATTTCCTGTATGTTTAAGGCATTGCTGTGCTCAATAGCACATTGCTTAAATGCTAAGATTGAATTTGGTAAAAGGGAGAAGCCAGAAAAAAATGTTTTATTCTTTCACAATGACTGAATTGAGAATAGAGTTGGGAATTAGTTGACTGGCATGATATGCCTTGAAATACAAAGGTAAGAATAAGGATAATAGATACTTTTGTGCCTGATCAGCTCCCCTTTATGGGTTCACTATCCCATCTCACAGCTCCTATGAATTTTGGCTGATTGGGCATTTCAGCTGCCCTTCTCCATAGAATTGCCCTGGGACCATGAGAGTTCCCTTGCCTGAAAGGTTTTGTGAAACCTCTGTAGCACTCAGCTGATTGATCCAGGGTTACAAATGCCCAGCCTCTTTTTGCCAAGGTGGAATGACTCTTGGGTGCCATTTGTACTGAAGAGCTCCCTGCAGGATCAGACTGAGGCTGGATTTCTACTGGAAACACACCCTACCTTGTTCCTCTGCCCTGCTCCACTTCTTTCATTCCCTTAGGGGTTTCTCCTGAGAGTCTGCCCTCAATCAATCACTTGCACATGAATCCCCTTCTCAGGCTCTGCTTGTAGGAAACCTGACCTAAGTTAAGACATTCAACATTTCAATTGTCCAGTTAATTGCTTTGTAATAGGAACTTAAGATGTTTATATTCATCATATGTAAAGCTGCTTCAAAGTCTTTCGATGAGATTTCGATATGTCAGTTCTATATTACCAGTTATTCTCTCTGATTTTTAGTATACATAGTGACTTAATTTTTTTTGTTTGTTTAGGTATTGAACTTATCCCTCAAGTAAGGATAGAAGACTTAAAGCAGATGAAGGTAAAATTGCTTGACTATTTTGCAAGCACTCTTGTATTACACATATTGGTGACACCAATATATTTTTGTTTCTCACCAAGTGTAATCATTGTGATTACAAAAAGAAAAAACAAAAAACCTATTTTTGATTCTATTTTTCTCCCAAAGGCTTACTTGAAGCATTTAAAGAAACAGCAGAAGGAGCTAAATTCTTTAAAGAAGAAACATGCAAAGGTACAGTGCTCTACAGCTACTATTTTGTGTTATGTATGGATGAATCATTTGTAGCCAAAAACACTACTTTGAAGCTGATACCAGACCACTTAACAGTAATAACTCATTCTAACTGGTTAACAATGAAATTAAAAAATAGAATCGGTTTGGGAGTGCTTGTCACTTGTTTGTAGTCTGCATTTCTAACAATTCTTTCAAATGCATAACAAAGCTTCATCCATTTAAAAATTGTTTCACTAGGCCGGGCACAGTGGCTCACGCCTGTAATCCCAGCACTTTGGGAGGCCAAGGTGGGTAGAATAGGATGTCAGGAGTTTGAGACCAGCCTGACCAACATGGTAAAACCTGTCTCTACTAAAAATACAAAAATTAGCTGGGTGTGGTGACATACCCCTGTAATCCCAGCTACTCAGGAGGCTGAGGCAGGAGAATCGCTTTAACCCGGGAGGCAGAGGTTGCAGTGAGCTGAGATCGTGCCATTGCATTCCAGTGTAGGTGATAGAGTAAGACTCCATCTCAAAAAAAAAGAAAAATTATTTCACTAATAACATGACTATATAAAATATTGAAGACCAGCTCACAATTCTAGCCACTAGTTACCTAAATTGCCAGGTCACTGTCACATAGTTTGCCATACACACTGGTGCATGGAGGGAGATGCTAGCAATCTGTCAACCTCCCACTCACAGCACCTAGAGAGAGAACACTTGTCACTTTTTCTCCCTTATGTAAATCTTGCCCAGTAGCCTACTTCTGAAATAGATTTATTTTTGCTTTTTACCCATAAGAAGTGGTATTTTGACAGTGATTGTGAAAAATTACAAGAGCTAGTTGCAAATTGTAAGAGAACAGCAGGAGGTGGCCCCAGGAATTCTCCTGTGGGTTGAAAAACGTCATGGCCCTCAAACATCGTCACTTCCAGACTCCCTCACAGGTAAAGAAGAAAAAGGTAGTACCTCTTTCCTTCCTAAGAACATATAATAACCAGCTGCTGCTGGTAGGATAATGTCTGTCCTCTTTTATTAAGGGCAATGAGAGCAAGAGAAACTTAATTTATAATTTATTAATTTGAAAGAACTTCTGAGTTCTTTTAAACTAATCTTGCATTCCTGTTTCTTTATTCTCTGACCCAAGCCTCAAACCAAGGCATGTCCTTCAGAACTTGGCTTGAGTGATGTACCTTTTAATCATTCCACGTATTGAGATGCCGAGAACATTGTCTGGAACCCTGTCCCCTGTCATTTCTTTAAGAGTTTGTGCTAACACTGATTTTTTGAGAAGTCATTTCTTTAAGAGTTTATCCTAACACTGATTTTTTTTAGAAGTTAGGCCTAATCTTATCCTAGTAATGTTCCCTGTATTACAGAACTGTTGGGCTCAATGGATTTGCTGATACAGTCACTTCACTTCAAAGACTGTTTCTAAGTTTCATGAATAATTCCATTCAGTGAAATTCCTTACATTGCTCAATGGGGTTATTGGAGACAGAACAATTTAAAGTAGGGGCTTCAATGTTGTTGGTTATTGACAACAGGCTGAACTATGGAAAGCCAACAGAAAAAGAGTAAGAATGAGAAATAAGAGAGAAAGCACCTTAAATGACTTTAATTATTTGGAATAGAGTGGATGCCCGTATGCTGCAGCACTATCTAACAGATTTTTCTTGCATTTAAATTGGATCTCTTTTATTGAGCAGACACCTCAGTGGCCTTTGGGCTAGTTGGAAACATAAAGATTTTGGCTTCATTTAATATTTTCTTGAGGCATGGCCAGAAAATATGCTGTGGCGGGTGGTAATAATAGCAGCAATAATAGCAGCTAGAATTCCTGCATGCTCAGTAATTCTCAGATGCTGTGCTCAG
Source organism: Homo sapiens (assembly GCF_000001405.40). NCBI lineage: Eukaryota > Metazoa > Chordata > Mammalia > Primates > Hominidae > Homo > Homo sapiens. The sequence continues at coordinate 9,446,106 of NC_000020.11, forward strand.
CACCTTATATGCATTGTCTCATTTAAGACTCTACCCTGTAAGGTAAATTCTATGTGAGTCTCCATTTATATGTGAGGGAATTAGGAATTAGTGAAGTTATCTGATGTCCCAGAGTTAGGAAGCAGCATAGCTGATATTTGAACCAAAATCAAGAGTCCAGAATCCATAGTCTTGCACCATACTCCTGTGTAGGATATGGGATGCTCACTAAGTGGACAAGTTCCCTCATTGGGTCAAATGCAGTGACAGCACATGGGACATTAGGGAAAATCACTATCAACTTTGGGCAGTGTTGATATACTGCTGATTATCAGGACTGTGACTAAGGAAGGATGCCCCTCAATTTTTAGAACTTAACCTACATCAGAGTTGTCCATTAACTCCCTGGAGCCATCATGCCCGGCCCAAGCTAACTTCTAAGATGAAGAATATAATGAATATTTACTTGCCTAATATACACCGATGCCAGCTCTGTTAACATATTGTCTTTAGGCGAGACATGGTGGCTCATGCATGTAATCCCAGCACTTTGGGAGGCCAAGGCAAGCAGATCTCACCTGAAGTCAGGAGTTTAAGACCAGCCTGGCCAACATGGCAAAACCCTGTCTCTAGTAAAAATACAAAAGTTAGCCAGGCATGGTGGCAGGTGCCTGTAATCCCAGCTACTTGGGAGGCTGAGGCAGGAGAATCACTTGAACCCAGGAGGCGGAGGTTGCAGTGAGCTGAGATTGTGCCACTGCACTCCAGCCTGGGTGACAAGAGCAAGACTCTGTCTCAAAAACAAAACAGAACAAACAACAACAACAACAACAAAAACATGTTGTCTTTAAAACCAAAAAATGAAAAACTGTTTAAGGAGAGGGGAACAATGTGGTGAATCTATTACCATTGGACATACTTCATGCCTGATCTCCATATGACGTGTTTATCCTAACACTGATTTTTCTGTCAGTCAACACTTTTAAAGTGGCAATACTAGCTTGTACATATTGATACTTGCTTAAGCACATATTCTTAGGTATTCTCATAACAGTTATATAAAGGAGTACTATAATTATATGAGTTTTGTATCTGTTAGCTTTTGCAGGGTAACAAACCACCCTAAAATGTAGTGACTTAAAACAATGACCATTTATTTGGCTCACAATTTTGTGCATCAGTAGTTGGAGCTGGGTTTAGCTGGATGGTTCTTCTGGTCTCAGCTGTATTCACTCATGAATCTGCTGTTACTACCAGTTTGGTTGGCAGATGGGGGACTGGCTGATTTAGGTCAGCCTCTGTTAAACCACTTCCTCTCTGCTTTATGTGGTCTCCTGTCTTCCAGCAGGCTAGTCCAGGCTTGTTCACATGGCTGGGGTCCTGAGAGACCAAGCAGATCAAGCATAGTTTCTTGTGGCCCCAGCTCAGAACTAACACACCATCACTTCCACCTCATTTTTTGGCCAAAGTAGGTCCTAAGTCTGGCCTTATGAGGTCTCTACCTTTTGACAGGTGACAAAGTTACATCAGAAGTGGGAGTGGATGCAGAAAGGGAAATAACTGTGGCCATTTTTATAGCCTACCGGCTATTCAACAGATTAGCTTATTAATACTTAAAAAAACACAGCTTCATTAAATCATCTAGTTTTTAAGTGGTGGAGTCAGGATTTGAACCAAATTCAGCCCGGCTTGAGAACTCAGACTTGTAACCACTATACTCAGCTGCCTCTGATGTTTCTCACACTAATTTTTCTTCTCTTCACACATCTTTTTCTTTATGGTCTCACTAACAGGTTTTTAAGAGCAATCATGAACCTATCAGGGCACAAATATCTTGGGTTCCTTCAGGACTGGTTTTTCAACATAAGGTCATTGGGCCAAGAGCTGGAGGCTTTACAAAAATATGTATTCTTATGCCTATCTGACACTTAGCTATCATCTCTAAGAAAAGAATATAGGAAATACAGAAATACATTTTAGATAAACTCCTCTCCTCTGCATGCTAAATTTTGAGGACTGTTTTTTTAGGAACATTATGTAGCACTTTTTACTATCTTTTGAGCCCTTAGTAGAAACCCCACTAATCGCCTGCAAAGACACTTATCAAGCCTCCTTAAAGAAACAGAGGTTTTATCCTCTTGCCACATAATAGTAAGAATTAATTCCTACATCCTTTCTGTGAAAGGACATCTACAGCTCTTTTATAATAGTTTTCAGCCACCCAACATGGAGCTAAGGCTTACCACCCCAAAGCCTTATGTCATAAAATGACCTGCTGATGAAGAAATATGACCTGGGCTGCACTCTCCCTACTAGTGTGCCCCTGGCCCAAACAGCCCTTGGTAGCTAAGAACAGGGACTATTATTTAGTCTATATCCAGCAACTGTAGGGAGATCTCAGCTCTTACATATCAGCCTAGATCAAGCTTGTCCAACCTGCATGCAGCTCCCAGGCCACATGCAGCTTAGGATGGCTTTGAATGCAGCCCAACACAAATTTGTAGACTTTCTTAAAACATGAGATTTATGCACAGACTTTTTTTTTTTTTTTCTCTCATTGGCTATCATTAGTGTCAGCGTTTTATGTGTGGCCCAAGACAATTCTTTTTCCAATGTGGCCCAAGGAAGCCAAAAGATTTGCCACTGCTGGCCTAGATAAATAATTCTACTTTTTAGACTTAAAGAGAAGCAGAGAATCTATGAACTATATCTCAGCAGTTTAAGAAATAAATGTATGGTCCCAAGGAGAGCTTATTTCCAAACTTGCAGGTTAGCTACCAGATAGAAAGGAACAGTGGGGTGAGTGTGAGGTTCTGCCATTTGCAAATAGGTGTGCAATTTGCTGTTAGGATATTGAGAAGAAAAGATGGGGGTAACGACCATTTGCACCCCAGATGGATATAAAAATGCTCATTAAAATGTCTATTTTTGGAAAATGGCAATGATCAACTGCATTTGACCCTCTGAATGTACTGGCAATCAAACTTCTACTTGTCTCATACTTTCTAGAACCACTTCAATTCGAAATGGAAACTAGGGTAATGGTTTTTCAAGTGTCTATTATATGAGACACAGAAAAAGGAGAATTAATTAACAATAATCCTCCCCCAGCACATGACTCATTGGGATCCAGAGCTGCAGTTACTTTCATTAAGAGACAGGCATGCTTTTCAATTGTCCAATGAGGTCAATTCCTTAGAGCCAAAAATGTAAAACCCAAAGTTGGATACATATCTCCAGTAACGTGTTAGAAGGGGAATTACAATTCAAATGCCTATGGGGTCCAAGCAGGAAGTAGCTGAGGGAAGTTGGACAGGTGTTGACTCCATAAAAGCTGGGAGCACTCATCTCTATCCACAGGCCAAGTCAGTCTGAGCTACCACCATTGGTGCCTGGAGAGTAGATGGGTCAGTCGTGTCCTCTTAAAGGAGAGTCAAAAAATCAGAAAGCTTATCTGAATTTCCTGATCTTTTACTATCGGCGTCTAATTCAACCTCTTTTTGAAACTGCGTAGGAAAAAACAAAACAAAATCCAAAACTAAAAACTACATCTGCAGGCAGGATACATTCCTTAGGCCACCAGTTTGCAGTATCAACATTAAATGAGTCAAATGAAATGCCTGAGAAGCCTACTAAACTCTGGCATTTTTAGTAAAGCTACTGATGGAAAATTTTCTCTTTGCTATGCAAGCAATTTAGCCGACAGCACCAAGACTGTTGTTAAACTCATCAATTTTAATTCATGGTCAGACCTTAGTACCAGACCTATAACTTAGTTTTGCAGTGGAAAGGGGCAGAGACACAGCAGTTGCCCTCAGAGTCCGCCTATTGGTAATCTCAGAGTTACATGCTGAGCAAACATGATTTACTCCAATTTTTCAGCACCCTCTGTGGTGCGATCATTCACGCCCATAGTCACATCAGTCACAAGAATGAATTGCAGCAGCAGTTTTCCCCAAAAGAAGCTGAATTTACTCTTAACTTGGATAAGAAACGTACACAAATTCTTCTGAATGCTATACATGTTTTTCCCCAAAATGTCCCAGTTAAGATTTACTTTAAGTTAACACATTTAATTTTGGTACTCTTGGCTTGAATGAATGAGAAATGTATGTCTCTTCAATAGTGTTTCATGATTTAACTAAGGACCAAAAGAATAAAACCAATAATGGACATTTTTTTTAAGCTAAGATGGACTTAGAGATCATTTCATGCCTCCTTCATTTTACAGCACAATGAGCTGAGACTTGACCAGAGTCACATGGAAATCAGTAATTAGGATCCCCATTTCTTTCTGAAAGGACAAGTGGTGTCTGGGAATCAAGTTATCCCAAAACACTTCAGCAATCACTGCCTACCACACAGGGATGGAGTTTTGAATAAAAAGAGAAACAGAGACAATTTTTCAGGACCAGCTTTCCTGTTACTGACATTAATTATAGTCACTTTAATTCAATATGCTTTCAGTTTTTCAAATTATTTTTGCATATGTTTAGTAACCTTGCATCTCATAAGCAACTCATGAATTCGGTTAGGCAAAGGTACCTAACTCAGTTTTCTTTTCTTTTCTTTTCTTTTTTTTTTTTTTTTTTTTGAGATGGAGTCTTGCTCTGTCATGCAGTGGCATGATCTCGACTCACTGCAACCTATGCCTCCCGGGTTCAAGCAATTCTCGTCCCTCAGCCTCCAGAGTAGCTGGGATTACAGGAGTGCACCACCATGCCCGGCTAATTTTTGTATTTTTAGTAGAGTTGGGTTTTTGCCATGTTAGCCAGGCTAGTCTCGAACTCCTGACCTCAGGTGATTTATGCGCCTCAGCCTCCCAAAGTCCTGGGATTACAGGCATGGGCTACTGTGCCCAGCCCTAACTCAGTTTTCTAATAAAGACATTGAGGCCTGGGAAGATTTATATATGTTACACAAGGGCAGTTGTTTAATTATTGGCTGAGCTGGGACCAGAATCTAAGTCCTCTTGCTATTTTCCTATGCTGACTTTTTATTCATGCGATAAATACTTATTGAGCATATACTTTGTACCAGGCTTTGTGCCATGTACTGGTAAAGAGAAAAGACCTGCCCTGCTCTTGTAGAGCATATTACATAGAGTTGAATCCATCATAAACAACTTTGTGGTACAAAGAGCCCTATTCCTCATATCTAATTGGATTAATAAGGTTCACCAAAATATTTTCTTAGGAAAAAAATCTGTGTCAATTTACATCCAAGCCTCAAAGTCTCTACTTGTCCTGTTCTGCACTAAAATATTTAAAGAAATAGCCTTCACCCTCCTTTCAATGATATTTGCAAGATAATATAGGACTGTGGCACTTCTGATATATTTTGAGACCTGCAGAAAGCCCCTTATTTATTTAATTTTTTGCCCAGGAAAAATTAACACATGGGTTAGCCAACCATAATGATTTCTAAATCTTAGAAAGAAGACTAGGAGGAGGGCATTTTAGTAGGTACCAAAGTATTACAAGAGTAGTTAAATACATTCAGGGATACATCAACATGTTCCTCTATTCCTGGGGCAGTAGATCAAGCATGGAGGAAACATTTATTGATTTAATTAGTCTGATTGATATCCCTATCTCAAGTCACTCTCTGTGTGTTATCATGGGTATTGAATAGTATAGATAGGTTTGTATGTCACTGTGTTTTGAATAAGCTGTAACACACATTTGATACATTAGATTCACTTTTAATCCTAACAACCCTATGAAGTAAATGTCACTATCCCAATTATAAAGATGAGCATACTCTGGAAAGGTAAGTGACTCACCCCAGCACTGAAAAACCCATGTCCTTAACCCAGTGCCACATTGCAGAAGCTCTGGAGGAAATGTGTTTATAGCACAAAGGTGCACACACATTGGTAATATGGCTAGATTTATGGGGCATTCCAATTACAAATTAAGCCCAGATCCACAGCAAGCCCACCTAGCCTTTGTTCCCACTGTAAGTTCCTATGTTGGGAATCTCCCTATCCAGCATCACCCTTCTCCACTCCTTCTCCTAAAGACAAGAATGCTGAGGCCTTGTGCATGAATGCGTTTCTAAAGAATTTATATATAAATGAATTGTAGATCAAGTCCTGTGTTAAATCTCTTAGCTGGGAAATTAAGGAAGTCTTGGTAAAGACTTAAAAATTCCTTCCCCATTTATATTTTATGAAACCGTTAAAAGAAGTTCATGAATTAGATTTGCATAAAGTCAAGCCTACCTTAGAAAGAAAATAAATTTGCTTTTAAATTAAGGCACTATTTTCTTCAATAAGTGAAAGGAAATATGACGGTGAGAGGGGTTATATAACCTGAACAACATGTACACCCATTCCAGTCATGAATAGCATCCCATTTTTCTGGTTCTCAAGAGTAAGGTTAGGCTATAACATCAAGTGTCATTTAGAGTTGGAAATTTCTGATTGTACTGATTTCCTCTGTGCTTGGGAGGCTGAGCAGCTAAAGAAATCTGATTTCATATAAGTCATTGGCTGTAGCTAAATGCCTTTTTCATTGTCCAGGAAGAAATAATGTTTATATTGAAATACCTACTTTCCAAAGCATTGCAGCCCCAATTTCAATGGTTACGTGAAGCAGATGGGAAAATGTTTTAAATATCTGTAAAACAGAAGGCCATAGCTCCTGAACACTTTATCCTCATAAACTGCTTCTAGATAAGTAAGCCAGTGAAAATATTAAGTGATGTAGATTCAAATTCAGCTGATGGTGACAAACACAGTGATGCCTCTCATTATATAATAATGGCATTCAAGAGCTCCAAAATGTGCAGGTGTTTAGAAACCATGTCACATGATGAATAGTTACATTTAGCATATACAAGAGAAGAAACATGGTGGCTGAACTTGCATGTTTGAGGACCAATGTGTGGAAGGGGCAGTAGGCTAATTACATGTCTCAAACAGCAGAACAAAGATGAATGGGTGGAAATACTACAGAGATGTGTATATGTAGAAGAAAGGACTTCGAGATGATTGGCACTACCCACTGCTGAGCAGGAGTGCATTTGAACTGGGCATGTTCACTAGACTGAGGCTAGAGACTCCCATGTTGGGAATGCCCTTGGACAAAAAAACCGGTGTTGAATGGGAGATCTGGAGTCTGTACTGTTCTCAGATTTGGTTATTCCTTGACTTTCTAAATGAAGACTCTAGGGAAGCTGGTGAAAGTTATGCCAGCCCTATATGGTGTGAGCCATGCTAAGAGTCCAATTCATAACTGCAAATCCTTCTTGTTCAGGAACACAGTACCATGCAGAAGTTACACTGCACGCAAGTTGACAAAATTGTGGCACAGTATGACAAAGAGAAGTCGACTCATGAGAAAATCCTAGAGAAGGCAATGAAGAAGAAGGGGTAATACTGTTTATTTCCTTCTGAAGACTTTCTCTATGTTTATATTTTGTCTTTTCCCACAGTTTTGCTGCTGTTTAGGTCAAGGAAGAACTTAGTGTTGACTTGATTTTCATCATTAAAAATTATTCCTGGGAAGTAAGAAACTCATTCATTTTAAATGCTCTAACATCATAACAGGTCAATGAGTGGATGTAGCTTCTGGTTTGGGGAAGGTTCTCAGCAGAGATTCTGATATCTTTTAATTCATCATAATTATTTCTAATATGAGAAAGAAATCTTAGCCTCAAATAATTGAAAAAATACCTCTTTACTCTGAGAATTGATTGTCCTTTTTGATTTTGAACTAATTTTAAATTTACAGAAAAGTTTCCAAAATACTACAGAGTTCCCTTATGCCCTTAACTCACTTTCCCTAAATGTTAACATCTCACATAATCATAGTACAGTTGTCAAACCAGGAAATTGACAGTGGTGCAATACCATTAACCAAGCCACAGTGATTTTTCACATTTTACCAGTTTTTCCACAAGTGCTTGTTTTCCACTCTGGGATCACCTCCAAAATTAAATAGCATTTAGTTGTCATCTCAGTATGTGATAATTCCTCAATCTCTCCCTGTCTTTTGTGACTTTCACTTTTGAAGAGAGCTGGTCAGTTGTTTTGTAGAATGGCTCTTCTTTTGGATTTGTCTGATATTTTCTCATGATGAGAGTGAGGTTATGCATTTGTGGCAAGCACACCATGGAAACAATGCTGCTTCCTTCTCAGTCCACGATATTGGGGGGATGGGGGTGTGACATTGATATGTCCCATTATTGGTGATGTTAACCTGGATGACTTGGTTAAGCTGGTATCTTACAGGTTTCTGCACTGTCAGATTACTTTTTTCCCTTTATAAATACTTTGGGGAAAATTCCATGAGACCACGCATACATTCTATTTATCTGAGAAATTATTTTTCCTGCCTTTGACCTTCTCCAGGGATTCCCTCTGGTTTTTATCTCTTTCCTTCAATCTCTGCTGATGTCTTCTAGTTTTCCACAACCTTTGGCACAAGAGAAAAGGAGAATGAGATTTCTTTTTCCTACTTGGGTTTTTTGGCATTTGGTTTTTGTTTTTTATTTTTTGTTTTAACAGTCACCCAAGATATACCTAGAAAACTAAACTCTGAAAACAGAACAGATTATGTTAGTTATAATTTTCTTGGACATTGGTTCATATTGCCGAAATTTCAGATCCCAAGATCTAAGTTCATGACATGAAACCAATGTAATTTGCTTGAGGAGTAAATGGTGGGTAACTAAAATGCCTGCCCTGGTATCAGGCCTCACTATTTGAGAGGTACCCTCATTTTTATTAAAGTTGTATTTTTCAGAAAAATACAAATCAGGCACTGATTATTGAGCATCTGTTATTATGCATCATCTGCCTTTTGTTTTCCCCGTAGGTTTCACTGTGTATTATTGAGGCAGAAATGTGCCTGTTGCTTAGAAAACATTTTGATCTGTATTTTAAGTGAGTAAGTGAGTCACCCACCTCGGAGCTCATGTGGCAATATTGGTAGTGATTACAGTAAGTTTTGAGGAGCTGTGATTCTTCTAGATTCTAACCACATCAGCTTTGGCCTATTTCTTTTTTGTAAATTAATTTCTCATATTTAATGACATTTTAGGCTATAATATTGAAACTGATGGTAGACAGACTCTAATACCAAGGAGCAAATTGTTGATGACTTTATAGTACTCTCCAAGAATAAGGTTATTTGTATTTACAAGATATCTTTTCAAAAAATGTTTCATGCATTTTTGTGGATCGGTGTATTTAGAAACACAGTTTTGGCTTAACCAAACCAAAAATTTTTATTAAGGAGATTTCAGATCCAAGCACCATAGAGTAAATTTCTTTGCTAAAAATAATATTACAGTTTTCTGATTCAATCAATCATGAGTGCTACCTTTAGAAATTTTTAAAAAATTGATAAAATATATCTTTACCTCATGATTGTTTTTACTCTCAAAGATAATGTGGGATCAAAATGTAATTTATTATAAACTTGGTAATTATTAGAAGTGTCCCTGGTGTGACACTTAACCCCCCAAACAGGCTATTGAGTGCTCTTGGAGGTCTCTCAGCAAATAAAGCCCTGTTTTATCCTAAACGTAGATGAGACTGGAAAAGTCTAATCTGTAGATTTCTTCCTGAGCCTCTGCTGTCAAACGCAGCACTCCTAGCAGGCTCTTCACACAGAGCATTTCCAAGTACTCTAAAGAGTAGAATCTTAGCAATACATTAAAAGTTACTTCAAAATCAGACATCAGATACTTTCTTCTGGAAAGCCATATCTGAGGAGAGTTTCTCATCATTAATATTCACCATGATATCAAGGTTGCCTGGACTTAGTCTTGCTATGTTGCCCAGGCTGAAGTGCAGTAGCACAATCTTGGCCCAATGCAACCTCCGCCTCCCAGGTTCAAGCAATCGTCCTGCCTCGGCTTCCTGAGTAGCTGAGACTACAGGTACATGCTGCCATGCCGGCTAATTTTTTGTATTTTTAATAGAAATGGGGTTTCACCATGTTGGCCAGGCTGGTCTCGAACTCCTGACCTCAAGTGATCTGCCTACCTTGGCTTCCCGAAGTGCTGGAATTACAAGCGTGAGCCACTGCACCCAGCCTTCCTGGACTTTTAACTGCAACTGAGTTGCTAAAAAGTTAGTGAAAGGGGAAACTGTGACAGTCCTTGGAGCTTTCTCATGCAGGATCTATTTTTGAAACAAATGAAAGGTTTCCCCTTACTCTTACCTACTCAGCTGAAAGGAAAGATTGACCTGGGAAAGGGAAGCTTTATTCAAGTGCTTCCAGCTTTGGCTAATGACTACCTCTCATATGCTTTCCACTCAAGGATCTTTAAGGTGATGGTAAAAAGATGAATGGGGGAACAAGGGAAGACAAGCTAAAGTTGGGAAAATTCTAAATTACAGAAATTATTTTGCATAGCCCGAATATAAAGAAGGTTGATGCACTAGAAAGGGGAAAATAAAATCTTGATTTTCAAATAAATATTACAAGTGCATGCCCTTATGCCCTCAGATGAGAGTGTTGAATAAAACCTCTCATTGCATTTACTGTGAAAGATTTGTCTAGAATTAAGTCACGGGAATGTTTCGGCAGTGCTGCAAACTTATTGAATAACAGAAGAGAGAAGAAACTTGCTCAGTGCCAGCCATTGAGAAGTGCTAGATTTGATGCGAGACCTTGCATTTTTAGAGTAATGCTTCTCTCACAGGAACTTGGAATTATATTATAAGGAAGCATTCTGACTTGAGCTATAATAACCTAGAGTATACATGCTGAAGATGAAGCTCAGGACCTGTTCTTGTTTCAGCAGCGATGTGGATATTCCAAAAGGAAGACATAATCACTGAAATAAGCAGTAATAGTTGCTGGGCACTCGCCTAGCATATATTTCCTACTCACAATAGAATAAGAAGCAAAAATTGCCCTGTGGTGCCAAGGATTGCTATTTTCTCCTTCACTGGCATATTTAAAAGACAAAAATCTGGCTTTATAATGAAATGGAAGAATGAAAAATTCACTTCAAGTCTGAGGACCTATTTTCCAGTTTTCATCCCAAATAATATTTTATTGAATAAGTGAAAAATAGCTTGAGAAAAACAGGAACCAAAATGGAAACTGACAACAGCCCCTTAATGATGAAATAATTGTTAGGTTTGAAGTGCCTCTTTGTATAGTGGTTGAATTGAGTAATCATGAAACAGATAATATTTTGTAAGGTGTGAATCTATTACTAGAAAGACCAGTGTTGCCCAATGAGCCATGACATCTCATATTTGATGAATATATTATCTTCATCAGAAAGCTTTGTAGCAAAGACCCATGGGAATGGGAAAATATCTAATTTCTGGCATGCATTTGCAACTTTCCATTTTCAGGGGAAGTAATTGTCTCGAAATGAAAAAAGAAACAGAAATCAAAATTCAGACGCTGACATCAGATCACAAATCTAAGGTAAGAAAATGCCCATTTTTACAGCAGTGACTTGCAGAAGACACTTTGTAATTTTTTAGAAGGAGTACCTAGTGTAAATTAGAAATAACAGTAGCCCAGAGCTGGTCTAGTAGCCTGCAGCTGATCTGGGATGTCAGGGGAGCCCAGGGTTCATGTTTGCCTCAGACTCACTGGCTTTAAGAAGAGCCATTTCATGGAACATCTTCTTTTGTCTTGTCTGTTGAACTATGCTAACAATATTTATGTTGCCTGCCTCAGAGGCATCAAGGAAAATAATAAATGAAGATACTAAAAGGAAATATTATATAAAATACAGAATATACTTCCCTATAGAAATAACATTAAACATAGGACAGAAAACCGCCCAAATTGGGAGGTGATACTTACTCCATCCTAACTTTACATGGAAATTTGGAATGAGAAAAAATTAAGAGCTGATATTCTAAAAGAGAAGCCTAATTACTCACATTTTCTTAAAGACAGGAGAAAATAGGAGCTTGAGAGACTTTAATCAACTTTGTGGGCATTTGGAGAACTAAGTGTTAAGTCCCAGTTAAGAATGAAAACAATTCTTCCAGCAATGATAGTTTTTAAATGAAAAGGAAAAAAAAAGAAAAAAAAAACCAACAACAACTGTTAAAGAAAGCTCCCAAAAATAGCTGTGGTTGAACCAGCCAGCCTCATCTATCTATATGCAGCTGTGTCATCTGGCCTAATGGCCCTGCTGCATGCATGGAGCAGGCAAGATGTTCAAGATGTTCTTGGTAGCTGTATGTTTTGTAGGGCATGAACTCTATAGAGGCAGTAAGGCATGTGTCTTTAAGAGTTATTCCCCACTCTCTCTCTTCTTAACTGGAATGTTTGAGAATTAGTAGTTGTGCAAACTGTCATGATTCTTAGATGCTTGGCATCAATAAGAAAAGCCTTGGCAACAGTATCAGTTTGCTTTTGCTATATAATGAACTGTGTCAAAGAAGAGCACATTGAAACAACTACTACAGTTTATTAGGTCACAATTCAGTGGGTCAGAAATTTGGGCCATACTTCTGCTGATTTTGGCTGGAGACACTTGTGTATCTACTGTCAGCAGGGGGCGTATGGCCTTACTTATGTATCTGGTAGTTGTCTGGCTGTTGCTTGTTTTCCTACATGACCTATCAACCTCCAGCAGGCTAGCACAGGCTCAGTCAGAGGGTAGCCACAGGGATCCCAGCATAGCAGAAGGGCAAGTACTTTCCAGCCTCTGCTTGCATCACATTTGCTACTATCTCATTGGCTAAAGCAAGTCACAGGTCACCCAGCTTCAAGGAGCTGGAGAAACAGACTCCAGCTCTTGACAAGAGGCACTGCAAAACCCCACTGCAAAGAGCTTGGATATTGGGTGGGGAGGACTTTCTACCCTAGTGTCTATCAGGGTTGACACAGTAAGTCATGATCCAGAAATAAAAGAACACACAGCTCTCTATTCAGACATGTGGGCTTGTGGACATGAAGCTGGAGAAACATAAGGTGATAAAGAAAATCCTGATGGAATTGGTAAAAGAGCCTAAGGCCCACACAAATCAGAGTGTTGGCTGAGTGTGGTGGCTCACGCCTGTAATCCCGGCACTCTGGGAGGCCGAGGCAGGTGGATCACCTGAGATCGGGAGTTTGAGACCAGCCTGGCCAACATGGTGAAACCCTGTCTCTAGTAAAAATACAAAAATTAGCTGGGCATGGTGGCACGCATCTGTAATCCCAGCTACTTGGGAAGCTGAGGCAGGAGAATCGCTTGAACCCAGGAGGTGGAGGTTGCAGTGAGCTGAGATCATGCCACTGCACTCCAGCCTGGGCAACAGAGGCAGACTCTATCTAAAAAAACAAAACAAACAAACAAAAAACAAAACAGAGTGTTGCTAAGTGAGGCAGTAAAATAAGGGTTCACAGTTAACTATTCAGAGCCAAAGCAATTGATTTATTTTGATAAGCAATAACTTCCTGCTTCCCATTGATTAATACATATTATTTTTTGGTGGTTATAGGTGTCTCATGATTCACCAATTAAGTTGGTGGGAGGAACCTGAAATACCTGAATAATGTTGTGCTTTTGGGTTCATACCTGACCTATGAGGATTACAATGGCACCGTCCCCTTTTTCCCAAACAGGTCAAAGAGATTGTAGCACAGCACACAAAGGAATGGTCAGAAATGATCAATACCCACAGTGCTGAGGAGCAAGAAATCCGAGACCTGCACCTCAGCCAGCAGTGTGAGCTGCTGAAAAAGCTACTCATCAATGCCCACGAGCAGCAAACCCAGCAGCTGAAACTGTCCCATGACAGGTGGGGGAATTGCCGTCTCCAGAGTAAACATCTAATATTTAAAAACAAAAGCTGATTTTGTGTGTATAAGAGAGCCAAGGTAATAAGTGAAATCAATTTGACGTACAACATGTAGCTCTTTTGTGTATCTCATCATATGGCTGATTATGAGCAAGATGAGCTATAAGAAATGGCACCCAGGGGCCAGGTGCAGTGGCTCACACCTGTAATCCCAGTGCTTTGAGAGGCCAAGACAGGAGGATTACTTGAGCCCAGGACTTCAAGACATAGCAAGACCCCATCTCTATTTTGAAAAAAGAAATGGCCCCTGCCATCAGAGGGCTTACAGGTGTTGGCAAGATACAACACCCATATGAACAGTTAAGTCAGATAACAAAGTAGCATATGACACATATTTTAAAATGTCATGGGCACTAAAGGCATCCAGCTCAGAGGAGCTCTACCTTTTCAGAGTGGTCATGGAG